>NC_000016.10:37762550-37946193 GCF_000001405.40 Homo sapiens | reverse complement strand
TTTGTCTTGTTTTTATACGAAGATATTTCCTTTTCTACCATTGGCGTCGAAGCGCTTGAAATCTCCACTTGCAAATTCCACAAAAAGAGTGTTTCAAATCTGCTCTGTCTAAGGGAAGGATGAACTCTGTGAGTTGCATACACACAACACAAAGTAGTTACTGAGAAATCTGTCTAGCATAATATGAAGAAATCCCGTTTCCAACGAAGGCCTCAAAGAGGTCCGAATATCCACTGGCAGACTTCACAAACAGAGTGTTTCCTAACTGCTCTGTGAAAAGAAAGGTTAAACTCTGTGAGTTGAACGCACACATCACAAAGGAGTTTCTGAGAATCATTCTGTCTAGTTTTTATACGAAGATATTTCCTTTTCTACCATTGACCCCAAAGCGGCTGAAATCTCCACTTGCAAATTCCAGAAAAAGAGTGTTTCAAATCTGCTCTGTGTAAAGGATCGTTCAACTCTGTGAGTTGAATACACACAACACAAGGAAGTTACTGAGAATTCTTCTGTCTAGCATAATATGAAGAAATCCCGTTTCCAACGAAGGCCTCAAAGAGGTCTGAATATGCACTTGTAGACTTTACAAACAGAGTGTTTCCTAACTGCTCTTTGAAAAGAAAGGTTAAACTCTGTGAGTTGAACGCACACATCACAAAACAGTTTCTGAGAATCATTCTGTCTAGTTTTTATACGAAGATATTTCCTTTTCTACCATTGACCTCAAAGCGGCTGAAATCTCCACTTGCAAATTCCACCAAAAGAGTGTCTCAAATCTGCTCTGTGTAAAGAATCATTCAACTCTGTGAGTTGAATGCACACAACACAAGGAAAGTTACTGGGAATTCCTCTGTCTAACCTTACATGAAAAAACCCGTTTCCAACGAAGGCCTCTAAGAGGCCAAGATATCCACTTGCAGACTTTACAAACAGAGTGTTTCCAAACTGCTGAATGAAAAGAAAAGTTAAACTCTGTGAGGTGAACGCACACATCACAGAGCAGTTTCTGAGAATGATTCTGTCGGGTTTTTATACGAAGAATATTTCCTTTTCTGCCTTTGGCCTCAAAGCGCTTGAAGTCTCCACTTGCAAATTGCAGAAAAAGAGTGTTTCGAATCTGCTCTGTCTAAAAGAAGGTTCAACTCTGTCAGTTGAATACACACAACACAAGGAAGTTACTGAGATTTCTTCTGTCTAGCCTTACATGAAAAAAACCCGTTTCCAACGAAGGCCTCAAAGAGGTCAAAATATCCACGTGCAGACTTTCCAAACAGAGTGTTTCCAAACTGCTGAATGAAAAGAAAGTTAAACTCTGTGAGTTGAACGCACACATCACAGAGCAGTTTCTGAGAATGATTCTGTCTAGTTTTTATAGGAAAATATTTCCTTTTCTGCTTTTGGCCTCAAAGCGCTTGAAATCTCCACTTGCAAATTCCACAAAAAGAGACTTTCAAATCTGCTCTGTCTAAAGGAAGGTTCAACTCTGTCAGTTGAATACACACAACACAAAGAAGTTACTAAGAATTCTTCCCTCTAGCATTATATGAAGAAATCCCGTTTCCAACGAAGGCATCTAAGAGGTCCAAATATCCACTTGCAGACTTTACAAACAGAGGGTTTCCAAAATGCTGTATGAAAAGAAAGGTTAAACTCTGTGAGTTAAACACACACATCACTACGCAGTGTCTGGGAACGAGTTTGTCTTGTTTTTATACGAAGATATTTCCTTTTCTACCATTGGCATCGAAGCGCTTGAAATCTCCACTTGCAAATTCCACAAAAAGAGTGTTTCAAATCTGCTCTGTCTAAAGGAAGGTTGAACTCTGTGAGTTGCATACACACAACACAAAGAAGTTACTGAGAAATCTTCTGTCTAGCATAATATGAAGAAATCCCGTTTCCAACGAAGGCCTCAAAGAGGTCCGAATATCCACTGGCAGGCTTCACAAACAGAGTGTTTCCTAACTGCTCTGTGAAAAGAAAGGTTAAACCCTGTGAGTTGAACGCACACATCACAAAGGAGTTTCTGAGAATCATTCTGTCTAGTTTTTATACGAAGATATTTCCTTTTCTACCATTGACCTCAAAGCGGCTGACATCTCCACTTGCAAATTCCAGAAAAACAGTGTTTCAAATCTGCTCTGTGTAAAGGATCGTTCAACTCTGTGAGTTGAATACACACAACACAAGGAAGTTACTGAGAATTCATCTGTCTAGCATAATATGATGAAATCCCGTTTCCAACGAAGGCTTTAAAGTAGGTCTGAATATCCACTTGCAGACTTTACAAACAGAGTGTTTCCTAACTGCTCTTTGAAAAGAAAGGTTAAACTCTGTGAGTTGAACGCACACATCACAAAACAGTTTCTGAGAATCATTCTGTCTAGTTTTTATACGAAGATATTTCCTTTTCTACCGTTGACCTCAAAGCAGCTGAATTCTCCACTTACAAATTCCACCAAAAGAGTGTCTCAAATCTGCTCTGTGTAAAGAATCATTCAACTCTGTGAGTTGAATGCACACAACACAAGGAAGTTACTGGGAATTCCTCTGTCTAACCTTACATGAAAAAACCCGTTTCCAACGAAGGCCTCTAAGAGGCCAAGATATCCACTTGCAGACTTTACAAACAGAGTGTTTCCAAACTGCTGAATGAAAAGAAAAGTTAAACTCTGTGAGTTGAACGCACACATCACAGAGCAGTTTCTGAGAATGATTCTGTCGGGTTTTTATACGAAGATATATCCTTTTCTGCCTTTGGCCTCAAAGCGCTTGAAGTCTCCACTTGCAAATTGCAGAAAAAGAGTGTTTCGAATCTGCTCTGTCTAAAGGAAGGTTCAACTCTGTCAGTTGAATACACACAACACAAGGAAGTTACTGAGATTTCTTCTGTCTAGCCTTACATGAAAAACACCCATTTCCAACGAAGGCCTCAAAGAGGTCAAAATATCCACGTGCAGACTTTCCAAACAGAGTGTTTCCAAACTGCTGAATGAAAAGAAAAGTTAAACTCTGTGAGTTGAACGCACACATCCCAGAGCAGTTTCTGAGAAAGATTCTGTCTAGTTTTTATAGGAAAATATTTCCTTTTCTGCTTTTGGCCTCAAAGCGCTTGAAATCTCCACTTGCAAATTCCACAAAAAGAGACTTTCAAATCTGCTCTGTCTAAAGGAAGGTTCAACTCTGTCAGTTGAATACACACAACACAAAGAAGTTACTAAGAATTCTTCCCTCTAGCATTATATGAAGAAATCCCGTTTCCAACGAAGGCATCTAAGAGGTCCAAATATCCACTTGCAGACTTTACAAACAGAGGGTTTCCAGAATGCTGTATGAAAAGAAAGGTGAAACTCTGTGAGTTAAACACACACATCACTACGCAGTGTCTGGGAATGAGTTTGTCTTGTTTTTATACGAAGATATTTCCTTTTCTACCATTGGCATCGAAGCGCTTGAAATCTCCACTTGCAAATTCCACAAAAAGAGTGTTTCAAATCTGCTCTGTCTAAAGGAAGGTTGAACTCTGTGAGTTGCATACACACAACACAAAGAAGTTACTGAGAAATCTTCTGTCTAGCATAATATGAAGAAATCCCGTTTCCAACGAAGGCCTCAAAGAGGTCCGATTATCCACTGGCAGGCTTCACAAACAGAGTGTTTCCTAACTGCTCTGTGAAAAGAAAGGTTAAACTCTGTGAGTTGAACGCACACATCACAAAGGAGTTTCTGAGAATCATTCTGTCTAGTTTTTATACGAAGATATTTCCTTTTCTACCATTGACCTCAAAGCGGCTGAAATCTCCACTTGCAAATTCCAGAAAAACAGTGTTTCAAATCTGCTCTGTGTAAAGGATCGTTCAACTCTGTGAGTTGAATACACACAACACAAGGAAGTTACTGAGAATTCATCTGTCTAGCATAATATGAAGAAATCCCGTTTCCAACGAAGGCCTCAAAGAGGTCTGAATATCCACTTGCAGACTTTACAAACAGAGTGTTTCCTAACTGCTCTTTGAAAAGAAAGGTTAAACTCTGTGAGTTGAACGCACACATCAAAAAACAGTTTCTGAGAATCATTCTGTCTAGTTTTATACGAAGATATTTCCTTTTCTACCGTTGACCTCAAAGCGGCTGAATTCTCCACTTACAAATTCCACCAAAAGAGTGTCTCAAATCTGCTCTGTGTAAAGAATCATTCAACTCTGTGAGTTGAATGCACACAACACAAGGAAGTTACTGGGAATTCCTCTGTCTAACCTTACATGAAAAAACCCGTTTCCAACGAAGGCCTCTAAGAGGCCAAGATATCCACTTGCAGACTTTACAAACAGAGTGTTTCCAAACTGCTGAATGAAAAGAAAAGTTAAACTCTGTGAGTTGAACGCACACATCACAGAGCAGTTTCTGAGAATGATTCTGTCGGGTTTTTATACGAAGATATTTCCTTTTCTGCCTTTGGCCTCAAAGCGCTTGAAGTCTCCACTTGCAAATTGCAGAAAAAGAGTGTTTCGAATCTGCTCTGTCTAAAGGAAGGTTCAACTCTGTCAGTTGAATACACACAACACAAGGAAGTTACTGAGATTTCTTCTGTCTAGCCTTACATGAAAAAAACCCGTTTCCAACGAAGGCCTCAAAGAGGTCAAAATATCCACGTGCAGACTTTCCAAACAGAGTGTTTCCAAACTGCTGAATGAAAAGAAAAGTTAAACTCTGTGAGTTGAACGCACACATCCCAGAGCAGTTTCTGAGAAAGATTCTGTCTAGTTTTTATAGGAAAATATTTCCTTTTCTGCTTTTGGCCTCAAAGCGCTTGAAATCTCCACTTGCAAATTCCACAAAAAGAGACTTTCAAATCTGCTCTGTCTAAAGGAAGGTTCAACTCTGTCAGTTGAATACACACAACACAAAGAAGTTACTAAGAATTCTTCCCTCTAGCATTATATGAAGAAATCCCGTTTCCAACGAAGGCATCTAAGAGGTCCAAATATCCACTTGCAGACTTTACAAACACAGGGTTTCCAGAATGCTGTATGAAAAGAAAGGTTAAACTCTGTGAGTTAAACACACACATCACTACGCAGTGTCTGGGAACGAGTTTGTCTTGTTTTTATACGAAGATATTTCCTTTTCTACCATTGGCATCGAAGCGCTTGAAATCTCCACTTGCAAATTCCACAAAAAGAGTGTTTCAAATCTGCTCTGTCTAAAGGAAGGTTGAACTCTTGTGAGTTGCATACACACAACACAAAGAAGTTACTGAGAAATCTTCTGTCTAGCATAATATGAAGAAATCCCGTTTCCAACGAAGGCCTCAAAGAGGTCCGAATATCCACTGGCAGGCTTCACAAACAGAGTGTTTCCTAACTGCTCTGTGAAAAGAAAGGTTAAACTCTGTGAGTTGAACGCACACATCACAAAGGAGTTTCTGAGAATCATTCTGTCTAGTTTTTATACGAAGATATTCCTTTTTCTACCATTGACCTCAAAGCGGCTGAAATCTCCACTTGCAAATTCCAGAAAAACAGTGTTTCAAATCTGCTCTGTGTAAAGGATCGTTCAACTCTGTGAGTTGAATACACACAACACAAGGAAGTTACTGAGAATTCATCTGTCTAGCATAATATGAAGAAATCCCGTTTCCAACGAAGGCCTCAAAGAGGTCTGAATATCCACTTGCAGACTTTACAAACAGAGTGTTTCCTAACTGCTCTTTGAAAAGAAAGGTTAAACTCTGTGAGTTGAACGCACACATCACAAAACAGTTTGTGAGAATCATTCTGTCTAGTTTTTATACGAAGATATTTCCTTTTCTACCGTTGACCTCAAAGCGGCTGAATTCTCCACTTACAAATTCCACCAAAAGAGTGTCTCAAATCTGCTCTGTGTAAAGAATCATTCAACTCTGTGAGTTGAATGCACACAACACAAGGAAGTTACTGGGAATTCCTCTGTCTAACCTTAAATGAAAAAACCCGTTTCCAACGAAGGCCTCTAAGAGGCCAAGATATCCACTTGCAGACTTTACAAACAGAGTGTTTCCAAACTGCTGAATGAAAAGAAAAGTTAAACTCTGTGAGTTGAACGCACACATCACAGAGCAGTTTCTGAGAATGATTCTGTCGGGTTTTTATACGAAGATATTTCCTTTTCTGCCTTTGGCCTCAAAGCGCTTGAAGTCTCCACTTGCAAATTGCAGAAAAAGAGTGTTTCGAATCTGCTCTGTCTAAAGGAAGGTTCAACTCTGTCAGTTGAATACACACAACACAAGGAAGTTACTGAGATTTCTTCTGTCTAGCCTTACATGAAAAAAACCCGTTTCCAACGAAGGCCTCAAAGAGGTCAAAATATCCACGTGCAGACTTTCCAAACAGAGTGTTTCCAAACTGCTGAATGAAAAGAAAAGTTAAACTCTGTGAGTTGAACGCACACATCCCAGAGCAGTTTCTGAGAAAGATTCTGTCGAGTTTTTATAGGAAAATATTTCCTTTTCTGCTTTTGGCCTCAAAGCGCTTGAAATCTCCACTTGCAAATTCCACAAAAAGAGACTTTCAAATCTGCTCTGTCTAAAGGAAGGTTCAACTCTGTCAGTTGAATACACACAACACAAAGAAGTTACTAAGAATTCTTCCCTCTAGCATTATATGAAGAAATCCCGTTTCCAACGAAGGCATCTAAGAGGTCCAAATATCCACTTGCAGACTTTACAAACAGAGGGTTTCCAGAATGCTGTATGAAAAGAAAGGTTAAACTCTGTGAGTTAAACACACACATCACTACGCAGTGTCTGGGAACGAGTTTGTCTTGTTTTATACGAAGATATTTCCTTTTCTACCATTGGCATCGAAGCGCTTGAAATCTCCACTTGCAAATTCCACAAAAAGAGTGTTTCAAATCTGCTCTGTCTAAAGGAAGGTTGAACTCTGTGAGTTGCATACACACAACACAAAGAAGTTACTGAGAAATCTTCTCTCTAGCATAATATGAAGAAATCCCATTTCCAACGAAGGCTTTAAAGAGGTGCGAATATACACTTGCAGACTTCACAAACAGAGTGTTTCCTAACTGCTCTATGAAAAGAAAGGTTAAACTCTGTGAGTTGAATGCACACATCACAAAGGAGTTTCTGAGAATCATTCTGTCTAGTTTTCATAAGAAGATATATCCTTTTCTACCATTGAGCTCAAAGCGGCTGAAATCTCCAATTGCAAATTACACAAAAAGAGTGTTTCAGATCTGCTCTGTGTAAAGGATGGTTCAACTCTGTGAGTTGAATACACACAACACAAGGAAGTTACTGAGAATGCTTCTGTCTAGCATAATATGAAGAAATCCCGTTTCCAACGAAGGCCTCAAAGAGGTCTGAATATCCACTTGCAGACTTTACAAACAGAGTGTTTCCTAACTCCTCTTTGAAAAGAAAGGTTAAACTCTGTGAGTTGAACGCACACATCACAAAAAAGTTTCTGAGAATCATTCTGTCTAGTTTTTATACGAAGATATTTCCTTTTCTACCGTTGACCTCAAAGCGGCTGAATTCTCCACTAACAAATTCCACCAAAAGAGTGTCTCAAATCTGCTCTGTGTAAAGAATCATTCAACTCTGTGAGTTGAATGCACACAACACAAGGAAGTTACTGGGAATTCCTCTGTCTAACCTTACATGAAAAAACCCTTTTCCAACGAAGGCCTCTAAGAGGCCAAGATATCCACTTGCAGACTTTACAAACAGAGTGTTTCCAAACTGCTGAATGAAAAGAAAAGTTAAACTCTGTGAGTTGAACGCACACATCACAGAGCAGTTTCTGAGAATGATTCTGTCGGGTTTTTATACGAAGATATTTCCTTTTCTGCCTTTGGCCTCAAAGCGCTTGAAGTCTCCACTTGCAAATTGCAGAAAAAGAGTGTTTCGAATCTGCTCTGTCTAAAGGAAGGTTCAACTCTGTCAGTTGAATACACACAACACAAGGAAGTTACTGAGATTTCTTCTGTCTAGCCTTACATGAAAAAAACCCGTTTCCAACGAAGGCCTCAAAGAGGTCAAAATATCCACGTGCAGACTTTCCAAACAGAGTGTTTCCAAACTGCTGAATGAAAAGAAAAGTTAAACTCTGTGAGTTGAACGCACACATCACAGAGCAGTTTCTGAGAAAGATTCTGTCGAGTTTTTATAGGAAAATATTTCCTTTTCTGCTTTTGGCCTCAAAGCGCTTGAAATCTCCACTTGCAAATTCCACAAAAAGAGACTTTCAAATCTGCTCTGTCTAAAGGAAGGTTCAACTCTGTCAGTTGAATACACACAACACAAAGAAGTTACTAAGAATTCTTCCCTCTAGCATTATATGAAGAAATCCCGTTTCCAACGAAGGCATCTAAGAGGTCCAAATATCCACTTGCAGACTTTACAAACAGAGGGTTTCCAGAATGCTGTATGAAAAGAAAGGTGAAACTCTGTGAGTTAAACACACACATCACTACGCAGTGTCTGGGAACGAGTTTGTCTTGTTTTTATACGAAGATATTTCCTTTTCTACCATTGGCATCGAAGCGCTTGAAATCTCCACTTGCAAATTCCACAAAAAGAGTGTTTCAAATCTGCTCTGTCTAAAGGAAGGTTGAACTCTGTGAGTTGAATACACACAACACAAGGAAGTTACTGAGAATTCATCTGTCTAGCATAATATGAAGAAATCCCGTTTCCAACGAAGGCCTCAAAGAGGTCTGAATATCCACTTGCAGACTTTACAAACAGAGTGTTTCCTAACTGCTCTTTGAAAAGAAAGGTTAAACTCTGTGAGTTGAACGCACACATCACAAAACAGTTTCTGAGAATCATTCTGTCTAGTTTTTATACGAAGATATTTCCTTTTCTACCGTTGACCTCAAAGCGGCTGAATTCTCCACTTACAAATTCCACCAAAAGAGTGTCTCAAATCTGCTCTGTGTAAAGAATCATTCAACTCTGTGAGTTGAATGCACACAACACAAGGAAGTTACTGGGAATTCCTCTGTCTATCCTTACATGAAAAAACCCGTTTCCAACGAAGGCCTCTAAGAGGCCAAGATATCCACTTGCAGACTTTACAAACAGAGTGTTTCCAAACTGCTGAATGAAAAGAAAAGTTAAACTCTGTGAGTTGAACGCACACATCACAGAGCAGTTTCTGAGAAAGATTCTGTCTAGTTTTTATAGGAAAATATTTCCTTTTCTGCTTTTGGCCTCAAAGCGCTTGAAATCTCCACTTGCAAATTCCACAAAAAGAGTGTTTCAAATCTGCTCTGTCTAAAGGAAGGTTGAACTCTGTGAGTTGCATACACACAACACAAAGAAGTTACTGAGAAATCTTCCCTCTAGCATTATATGAAGAAATCCCGTTTCCAACGAAGGCATCTAAGAGGTCCAAATATCCACTTGCAGACTTTACAAACAGAGGGTTTCCAGAATGCTGTATGAAAAGAAAGGTGAAACTGCTGTGAGTTAAACACACACATCACTACGCAGTGTCTGGGAACGAGTTTGTCTTGTTTTTATACGAAGATATTTCCTTTTCTACCATTGGCATCGAAGCGCTTGAAATCTCCACTTGCAAATTCCACAAAAAGAGTGTTTCAAATCTGCTCTGTCTAAAGGAAGGTTGAACTCTGTGAGTTGCATACACACAACACAAAGAAGTTACTGAGAAATCTTCTGTCTAGCATAATATGAAGAAATCCCGTTTCCAACGAAGGCCTCAAAGAGGTCCGAATATCCACTGGCAGGCTTCACAAACAGAGTGTTTCCTAACTGCTCTGTGAAAAGAAAGGTTAAACTCTGTGAGTTGAACGCACACATCACAAAGGAGTTTCTGAGAATCATTCTGTCTAGTTTTTATACGAAGATATTTCCTTTTCTACCATTGACCTCAAAGCGGCTGAAATCTCCACTTGCAAATTCCAGAAAAACAGTGTTTCAAATCTGCTCTGTGTAAAGGATCGTTCAACTCTGTGAGTTGAATACACACAACACAAGGAAGTTACTGAGAATTCATCTGTCTAGCATAATATGAAGAAATCCCGTTTCCAACGAAGGTCTCAAAGAGGTCTGAATATCCGCTTGCAGACTTTACAAACAGAGTGTTTCCTAACTGCTCTTTGAAAAGAAAGGTTAAACTCTGTGAGTTGAACGCACACATCACAAAACAGTTTCTGAGAATCATTCTGTCTAGTTTTTATACGAAGATATTTCCTTTTCTACCATTGACCTCAAAGCGGCTGAATTCTCCACTAACAAATTCCACCAAAAGAGTGTCTCAAATCTGCTCTGTGTAAAGAATCATTCAACTCTGTGAGTTGAATGCACACAACACAAGGAAGTTACTGGGAATTCCTCTGTCTAACCTTACATGAAAAAACCCGTTTCCAACGAAGGCCTCTAAGAGGCCAAGATATCCACTTGCAGACTTTACAAACAGAGTGTTTCCAAACTGCTGAATGAAAAGAAAAGTTAAACTCTGTGAGTTGAACGCACACATCACAGAGCAGTTTCTGAGAATGATTCTGTCGGGTTTTTATACGAAGATATTTCCTTTTCTGCCTTTGGCCTCAAAGCGCTTGAAGTCTCCACTTGCAAATTGCAGAAAAAGAGTGTTTCGAATCTGCTCTGTCTAAAGGAGGGTTCAACTCTGTCAGTTGAATACACACAACACAAGGAAGTTACTGAGATTTCTTCTGTCTAGCCTTACATGAAAAAAACCCGTTTCCAACGAAGGCCTCAAAGAGGTCAAAATATCCACGTGCAGACTTTCCAAACAGAGTGTTTCCAAACTGCTGAATGAAAAGAAAAGTTAAACTCTGTGAGTTGAACGCACACATCCCAGAGCAGTTTCTGAGAAAGATTCTGTCTAGTTTTTATAGGAAAATATTTCCTTTTCTGCTTTTGGCCTCAAAGCGCTTCAAATCTCCACTTGCAAATTCCAGAAAAAGAGACTTTCAAATCTGCTCTGTCTAAAGGAAGGTTCAACTCTGTCAGTTGAATACACACAACACAAAGAAGTTACTAAGAATTCTTCCCTCTAGCATTATATGAAGAAATCCCGTTTCCAAAGAAGGCATCTAAGAGGTCCAAATATCCACTTGCAGACTTTACAAACAGAGGGTTTCCAGAATGCTGTATGAAAAGAAAGGTTAAACTCTGTGAGTTAAACACACACATCACTACGCAGTGTCTGGGAACGAGTTTGTCTTGTTTTTATACGAAGATATTTCCTTTTCTACCATTGGCATCGAAGCGCTTGAAATCTCCACTTGCAAATTCCACAAAAAGAGTGTTTCAAATCTGCTCTGTCTAAAGGAAGGTTGAACTCTGTGAGTTGCATACACACAACCCAAAGAAGTTACTGAGAAATCTTCTGTCTAGCGTAATATGAAGAAATCCCGTTTCCAACAAAGGCCTCAAAGAGGTCCGAATATCCACTGGCAGGCTTCACAAACAGAGTGTTTCCTAACTGCTCTGTGAAAAGAAAGGTTAAACTCTGTGAGTTGAACGCACACATCACAAAGGAGTTTCTGAGAATCATTCTGTCTAGTTTTTATACGAAGATATTTCCTTTTCTACCATTGACCTCAAAGCGGCTGAAATCTCCACTTGCAAATTCCAGAAAAACAGTGTTTCAAATCTGCTCTGTGTAAAGGATCGTTCAACTCTGTGAGTTGAATACACACAACACAAGGAAGTTACTGAGAATTCATCTGTCTAGCATAATATGAAGAAATCCCGTTTCCAACGAAGGCCTCAAAGAGGTCTGAATATCCACTTGCAGACTTTACAAACAGAGTGTTTCCTAACTGCTCTCTGAAAAGAAAGGTTAAACTCTGTGAGTTGAACGCACACATCACAAAACAGTTTCTGAGAATCATTCTTTCTAGTTTTTATACGAAGATATTTCCTTTTCTACCGTTGACCTCAAAGCGGCTGAATTCTCCACTTACAAATTCCACCAAAAGAGTGTCTCAAATCTGCTCTGTGTAAAGAATCATTCAACTCTGTGAGTTGAATGCATACAACACAAGGAAGTTACTGGGAATTCCTCTGTCTATCCTTACATGAAAAAACCCGTTTCCAACGAAGGCCTCTAAGAGGCCAAGATATCCACTTGCAGACTTTACAAACAGAGTGTTTCCAAACTGCTGAATGAAAAGAAAAGTTAAACTCTGTGAGTTGAACGCACACATCACAGAGCAGTTTCTGAGAATGATTCTGTCGGGTTTTTATACGAAGATATTTCCTTTTCTGCCTTTGGCCTCAAAGCGCTTGAAGTCTCCACTTGCAAATTGCAGAAAAAGAGTGTTTCGAATCTGCTCTGTCTAAAGGAAGGTTCAACTCTGTCAGTTGAATACACACAACACAAGGAAGTTACTGAGATTTCTTCTGTCTAGCCTTACATGAAAAAAACCCGTTTCCAACGAAGGCCTCAAAGAGGTCAAAATATCCACGTGCAGACTTTCCAAACAGTGTTTCCAAACTGCTGAATGAAAAGAAAAGTTAAACTCTGTGAGTTGAACGCACACATCACAGAGCAGTTTCTGAGAATGATTCTGTCGAGTTTTTATAGGAAAATATTTCCTTTTCTGCTTTTGGCCTCAAAGCGCTTGAAATCTCCACTTGCAAATTCCACAAAAAGAGACTTTCAAATCTGCTCTGTCTAAAGGAAGGTTCAACTCTGTCAGTTGAATACACACAACACAAAGAAGTTACTAAGAATTCTTCCCTCTAGCATTATATGAAGAAATCCCGTTTCCAACGAAGGCATCTAAGAGGTCCAAATATCCACTTGCAGACTTTACAAACAGAGGGTTCCCAGAATGCTGTATGAAAAGAAAGGTGAAACTCTGTGAGTTAAACACACACATCACTACGCAGTGTCTGGGAACGAGTTTGTCTTGTTTTTATACGAAGATATTTCCTTTTCTACCATTGGCATCGAAGCGCTTGAAATCTCCACTTGCAAATTCCACAAAAAGAGTGTTTCAAATCTGCTCTGTCTAAAGGAAGGTTGAACTCTGTGAGGTGCATACACACAACACAAAGAAGTTACTGAGAAATCTTCTGTCTTGCAAAATATGAAGAAATCCCGTTTCCAACGAAGGCCTCAAAGAGGTCCGAATATCCACTGGCAGGCTTCACAAACAGAGTGTTTCCTAACTGCTCTGTGAAAAGAAAGGTTAAACTCTGTGAGTTGAACGCACACATCACAAAGGAGTTTCTGAGAATCATTCTGTCCAGTTTTTATACGAAGATATTTCCTTTTCTACCATTGACCTCAAAGCGGCTGAAATCTCCACTTGCAAATTCCAGAAAAACAGTGTTTCAAATCTGCTCTGTGTAAAGGATCGTTCAACTCTGTGAGTTGAATACACACAACACAAGGAAGTTACTGAGAATTCATCTGTCTAGCATAATATGAAGAAATCCCGTTTCCAACGAAGGCCTCAAAGAGGTCTGAATATCCACTTGCAGACTTTACAAACAGAGTGTTTCCTAACTGCTCTTTGAAAAGAAAGGTTAAACTCTGTGAGTTGAACGCACACATCACAAAACAGTTTCTGAGAATCATTCTGTCTAGTTTTTATACGAAGATATTTCCTTTTCTACCGTTGACCTCAAAGCGGCTGAATTCTCCACTTACAAATTCCACCAAAAGAGAGTCTCAAATCTGCTCTTTGTAAAGAATCATTCAACTCTGTGTGTTGAATGCACACAACACAAGGAAGTTACTGGGAATTCCTCTGTCTATCCTTACATGAAAAAACCCGTTTCCAACGAAGGCCTCTAAGAGGCCAAGATATCCACTTGCAGACTTTACAAACAGAGTGTTTCCAAACTGCTGAATGAAAAGAAAAGTTAAACTCTGTGAGTTGAACGCACACATCACAGAGCAGTTTCTGAGAAAGATTCTGTCTAGTTTTTATAGGAAAATATTTCCTTTTCTGCTTTTGGCCTCAAAGCGCTTGAAATCTCCACTTGCAAATTCCACAAAAAGAGTGTTTCAAATCTGCTCTGTCTAAAGGAAGGTTGAACTCTGTGAGTTGCATACACACAACACAAAGAAGTTACTGAGAAATCTTCCCTCTAGCATTATATGAAGAAATCCCGTTTCCAACGAAGGCATCTAAGAGGTCCAAATATCCACTTGCAGACTTTACAAACACAGGGTTTCCAGAATGCTGTATGAAAAGAAAGGTGAAACTCTGTGAGTTAAACACACACATCACTACGCAGTGTCTGGGAACGAGTTTGTCTTGTTTTTATACGAAGATATTTCCTTTTCTACCATTGGCATCGATGCGCTTGAAATTTCCACTTGCAAATTCCACAAAAAGAGTGTTTCAAATCTGCTCTGTCTAAAGGAAGGTTGAACTCTGTGAGTTGCATACACACAACACAAAGAAGTTACTGAGAAATCTTCTGTCTAGCATAATATGAAGAAATCCCGTTTCCAGCGAAGGCCTCAAAGAGGTCCGAATATCCACTGGCAGGCTTCACAAACAGAGTGTTTCCTAACTGCTCTGTGAAAAGAAAGGTTAAACTCTCTGAGTTGAACGCACACATCACAAAGGAGTTTCTGAGAATCATTCTGTCTAGTTTTTATACGAAGATATTTCCTTTTCTACCATTGACCTCAAAGCGGCTGAAATCTCCACTTGCAAATTCCAGAAAAACAGTGTTTCAAATCTGCTCTGTGTAAAGGATCGTTCAACTCTGTGAGTTGAATACACACAACACAAGGAAGTTACTGAGAATTCATCTCTCTAGCATAATATGAAGAAATCCCGTTTCCAACGAAGGCCTCAAAGAGGTCTGAATATCCACTTGCAGACTTTACAAACAGAGTGTTTCCTAACTGCTCTTTGAAAAGAAAGGTTAAACTCTGTGAGTTGAACGCACACATCACAAAACAGTTTCTGAGAATCATTCTGTCTAGTTTTTATACGAAGATATTTCCTTTTCTACCGTTGACCTCAAAGCGGCTGAATTCTCCACTTACAAATTCCACCAAAAGAGTGTCTCAAATCTGCTCTGTGTAAAGAATCATTCAACTCTGTGAGTTGAATGCACACAACACAAGGAAGTTACTGGGAATTCCTCTGTCTAACCTTAAATGAAAAAACCCGTTTCCAACGAAGGCCTCTAAGAGGCCAAGATATCCACTTGCAGACTTTACAAACAGAGTGTTTCCAAACTGCTGAATGAAAAGAAAAGTTAAACTCTGTGAGTTGAACGCACACATCACAGAGCAGTTTCTGAGAATGATTCTGTCGGGTTTTTATACGAAGATATTTCCTTTTCTGCCTTTGGCCTCAAAGCGCTTGAAGTCTCCACTTGCAAATTGCAGAAAAAGAGTGTTTCGAATCTGCTCTGTCTAAAGGAAGGTTCAACTCTGTCAGTTGAATACACACAACACAAGGAAGTTACTGAGATTTCTTCTGTCTAGCCTTACATGAAAAAAACCCGTTTCCAACGAAGGCCTCAAAGTAGGTCAAAATATCCACGTGCAGACTTTCCAAACAGAGTGTTTCCAAACTGCTGAATGAAAAGAAAAGTTAAACTCTGTGAGTTGAACGCACACATCCCAGAGCAGTTTCTGAGAAAGATTCTGTCTAGTTTTTATAGGAAAATATTTCCTTTTCTGCTTTTGGCCTCAAAGCGCTTGAAATCTCCACTTGCAAATTCCACAAAAAGAGACTTTCAAATCTGCTCTGTCTAAAGGAAGGTTCAACTCTGTCAGTTGAATACACACAACACAAAGAAGTTACTAAGAATTCTTCCCTCTAGCATTATATGAAGAAATCCCGTTTCCAACGAAGGCATCTAAGAGGTCCAAATATCCACTTGCAGAATTTACAAACAGAGGGTTTCCAGAATGCTGTATGAAAAGAAAGGTGAAACTCTGTGAGTTAAACACACACATCACTACGCAGTGTCTGGGAACGAGTTTGTCTTGTTTTTATACGAAGATATTTCCTTTTCTACCATTGGCATCGAAGCGCTTGAAATCTCCACTTGCAAATTCCACAAAAAGAGTGTTTCAAATCTGCTCTGTCTAAAGGAAGGTTGAACTCTGTGAGTTGCATACACACAACACAAAGAAGTTACTGAGAAATCTTCTGTCTAGCATAATATGAAGAAAT
Source organism: Homo sapiens (assembly GCF_000001405.40). Taxonomy (NCBI): domain Eukaryota; kingdom Metazoa; phylum Chordata; class Mammalia; order Primates; family Hominidae; genus Homo; species Homo sapiens. The sequence goes on along the minus strand of NC_000016.10, from coordinate 37,930,029 downwards.
CCCGTTTCCAACGAAGGCCTCAAAGAGGTCCGAATATCCACTGGCAGGCTTCACAAACAGAGTGTTTCCTAACTGCTCTGTGAAAAGAAAGGTTAAACCCTGTGAGTTGAACGCACACATCACAAAGGAGTTTCTGAGAATCATTCTGTCTAGTTTTTATACGAAGATATTTCTTTTTCTACCATTGACCTCAAAGCGGCTGAAATCTCCACTTGCAAATTCCAGAAAAACAGTGTTTCAAATCTGCTCTGTGTAAAGGATCGTTCAACTCTGTGAGTTGAATACACACAACACAAGGAAGTTACTGAGAATTCATCTGTCTAGCATAATATGAAGAAATCCCGTTTCCAACGAAGGCCTCAAAGAGGTCTGAATATCCACTTGCAGACTTTACAAACAGAGTGTTTCCTAACTGCTCTTTGAAAAGAAAGGTTAAACTCTGTGAGTTGAACGCACACATCACAAAACAGTTTCTGAGAATCATTCTGTCTAGTTTTTATACGAAGATATTTCCTTTTCTACCGTTGACCTCAAAGCAGCTGAATTCTCCACTTACAAATTCCACCAAAAGAGTGTCTCAAATCTGCTCTGTGTAAAGAATCATTCAACTCTGTGAGTTGAATGCACACAACACAAGGAAGTTACTGGGAATTCCTCTGTCTAACCTTACATGAAAAAACCCGTTTCCAACGAAGGCCTCTAAGAGGCCAAGATATCCACTTGCAGACTTTACAAACAGAGTGTTTCCAAACTGCTGAATGAAAAGAAAAGTTAAACTCTGTGAGTTGAACGCACACATCACAGAGCAGTTTCTGAGAATGATTCTGTCGGGTTTTTATACGAAGATATTTCCTTTTCTGCCTTTGGCCTCAAAGCGCTTGAAGTCTCCACTTGCAAATTGCAGAAAAAGAGTGTTTCGAATCTGCTCTGTCTAAAGGAAGGTTCAACTCTGTCAGTTGAATACACACAACACAAGGAAGTTACTGAGATTTCTTCTGTCTAGCCTTACATGAAAAAAACCCGTTTCCAACGAAGGCCTCAAAGAGGTCAAAATATCCACGTGCAGACTTTCCAAACAGAGTGTTTCCAAACTGCTGAATGAAAAGAAAAGTTAAACTCTGTGAGTTGAACGCACACATCCCAGAGCAGTTTCTGAGAAAGATTCTGTCTAGTTTTTATAGGAAAATATTTCCTTTTCTGCTTTTGGCCTCAAAGCGCTTGAAATCTCCACTTGCAAATTCCACAAAAAGAGACTTTCAAATCTGCTCTGTCTAAAGGAAGGTTCAACTCTGTCAGTTGAATACACACAACACAAAGAAGTTACTAAGAATTCTTCCCTCTAGCATTATATGAAGAAATCCCGTTTCCAACGAAGGCATCTAAGAGGTCCAAATATCCACTTGCAGACTTTACAAACAGAGGGTTTCCACAATGCTGTATGAAAAGAAAGGTTAAACTCTGTGAGTTAAACACACACATCACTACGCAGTGTCTGGGAACGAGTTTGTCTTGTTTTTATACGAAGATATTTCCTTTTCTACCATTGGCATCGAAGCGCTTGAAATCTCCACTTGCAAATTCCACAAAAAGAGTGTTTCAAATCTGCTCTGTCTAAAGGAAGGTTGAACTCTGTGAGTTGCATACACACAACACAAAGAAGTTACTGAGAAATCTTCTGTCTAGCATAATATGAAGAAATCCCGTTTCCAACGAAGGCCTCAAAGAGGTCCGAATATCCACTGGCAGGCTTCACAAACAGAGTGTTTCCTAACTGCTCTGTGAAAAGAAAGGTTAAACTCTGTGAGTTGAACGCACACATCACAAAGGAGTTTCTGAGAATCATTCTGTCTAGTTTTTATACGAAGATATTTCCTTTTCTACCATTGACCTCAAAGCGGCTGAAATCTCCACTTGCAAATTCCAGAAAAACAGTGTTTCAAATCTGCTCTGTGTAAAGGATCGTTTAACTCTGTGAGTTGAATACACACAACACAAGGAAGTTACTGAGAATTCATCTGTCTAGCATAATATGAAGAAATCCCGTTTCCAACGAAGGCTTCAAAGAGGTCTGAATATCCACTTGCAGACTTTACAAACAGAGTGTTTCCTAACTGCTCTTTGAAAAGAAAGGTTAAACTCTGTGAGTTGAACGCACACATCACAAAACAGTTTCTGAGAATCATTCTTTCTAGTTTTTATACGAAGATATTTCCTTTTCTACCGTTGACCTCAAAGCGGCTGAATTCTCCACTTACAAATTCCACCAAAAGAGTGTCTCAAATCTGCTCTGTGTAAAGAATCATTCAACTCTGTGAGTTGAATGCACACAACACAAGGAAGTTACTGGGAATTCCTCTGTCTAACCTTACATGAAAAAACGCGTTTCCAACGAAGGCCTCTAAGAGGCCAAGATATCCACTTGCAGACTTTACAAACAGAGTGTTTCCAAACTGCTGAATGAAAAGAAAAGTTAAACTCTGTGAGTTGAACGCACACATCACAGAGCAGTTTCTGAGAATGATTCTGTCGGGTTTTTATACGAAGATATTTCCTTTTCTGCCTTTGGCCTCAAAGCGCTTGAAGTCTCCACTTGCAAATTGCAGAAAAAGAGTGTTTCGAATCTGCTCTGTCTAAAGGAAGGTTCAACTCTGTCAGTTGAATACACACAACACAAGGGAATTTACTGAGATTTCTTCTGTCTAGCGTTACATGAAAAAAACCCGTTTCCAACGAAGGCCTCAAAGAGGTCAAAATATCCACGTGCAGACTTTCCAAACAGAGTGTTTCCAAACTGCTGAATGAAAAGAAAAGTTAAACTCTGTGAGTTGAACGCACACATCCCAGAGCAGTTTCTGAGAAAGATTCTGTCTAGTTTTTATAGGAAAATATTTCCTTTTCTGCTTTTGGCCTCAAAGCGCTTGAAATCTCCACTTGCAAATTCCACAAAAAGAGACTTTCAAATCTGCTCTGTCTAAAGGAAGGTTCAACTCTGTCAGTTGAATACACACAACACAAAGAAGTTACTAAGAATTCTTCCCTCTAGCATTATATGAAGAAATCCCGTTTCCAACGAAGGCATCTAAGAGGTCCAAATATCCACTTGCAGACTTTACAAACAGAGGGTTTCCAGAATGCTTTATGAAAAGAAAGGTTAAACTCTGTGAGTTAAACACACACATCACTACGCAGTGTCTGGGAACGAGTTTGTCTTGTTTTTATACGAAGATATTTCCTTTTCTACCATTGGCATCGAAGCGCTTGAAATCTCCACTTGCAAATTCCACAAAAAGAGTGTTTCAAATCTGCTCTGTCTAAAGGAAGGTTGAACTCTGTGAGTTGCATACACACAACACAAAGAAGTTACTGAGAAATCTTCTGTCTAGCATAATATGAAGAAATCCCGTTTCCAACGAAGGCCTCAAAGAGGTCCGAATATCCACTGGCAGGCTTCACAAACAGAGTGTTTCCTAACTGCTCTGTGAAAAGAAAGGTTAAACTCTGTGAGTTGAACGCACACATCACAAAGGAGTTTCTGAGAATCATTCTGTCTAGTTTTTATACGAAGATATTTCCTTTTCTACCATTGACCTCAAAGCGGCTGAAATCTCCACTTGCAAATTCCAGAAAAAGAGTGTTTCAAATCTGCTCTGTGTAAAGGATCGTTCAACTCTGTGAGTTGAATACACACAACACAAGGAAGTTACTGAGAATTCTTCTGTCTAGCATAATATGAAGAAATCCCGTTTCCAACGAAGGCCTCAAAGAGGTCTGAATATGCACTTGCAGACTTTACAAACAGAGTGTTTCCTAACTGCTCTTTGAAAAGAAAGGTTAAACTCTGTGAGTTGAACGCACACATCACAAAACAGTTTCTGAGAATCATTCTGTCTAGTTTTTATACGAAGATATTTCCTTTTCTACCGTTGACCTCAAAGCAGCTGAATTCTCCACTTACAAATTCCAACAAAAGAGTGTCTCAAATCTGCTCTGTGTAAAGAATCATTCAACTCTGTGAGTTGAATGCACACAACAAAAGGAAGTTACTGGGAATTCCTCTGTCTAACCTTACATGAAAAAACCCGTTTCCAACGAAGGCCTCTAAGAGGCCAAGATATCCACTTGCAGACTTTACAAACAGAGTGTTTCCAAACTGCTGAATGAAAAGAAAAGTTAAACTCTGTGAGTTGAACGCACACATCACAGAGCAGTTTCTGAGAATGATTCTGTCGGGTTTTTATACGAAGATATTTCCTTTTCTGCCTTTGGCCTCAAAGCGCTTGAAGTCTCCACTTGCAAATTGCAGAAAAAGAGTGTTTCGAATCTGCTCTGTCTAAAGGAAGGTTCAACTCTGTCAGTTGAATACACATAACACAAGGAAGTTACTGAGATTTCTTCTGTCTAGCGTTACATGAAAAAAACCCGTTTCCAACGAAGGCCTCAAAGAGGTCAAAATATCCACGTGCAGACTTTCCAAACAGAGTGTTTCCAAACTGCTGAATGAAAAGAAAAGTTAAACTCTGTGAGTTGAACGCACACATCCCAGAGCAGTTTCTGAGAAAGATTCTGTCTAGTTTTTATAGGAAAATATTTCCTTTTCTGCTTTTGGCCTCAAAGCGCTTGAAATCTCCACTTGCAAATTCCACAAAAAGAGACTTTCAAATCTGCTCTGTCTAAAGGAAGGTTCAACTCTGTCAGTTGAATACACACAACACAAAGAAGTTACTAAGAATTCTTCCCTCTAGCATTATATGAAGAAATCCCGTTTCCAACGAAGGCATCTAAGAGGTCCAAATATCCACTTGCAGACTTTACAAACAGAGGGTTTCCAGAATGCTGTATGAAAAGAAAGGTTAAACTCTGTGAGTTAAACACACACATCACTACGCAGTGTCTGGGAACGAGTTTGTCTTGTTTTTATACGAAGATATTTCCTTTTCTACCATTGGCATCGAAGCGCTTGAAATCTCCACTTGCAAATTCCACAAAAAGAGTGTTTCAAATCTGCTCTGTCTAAAGGAAGGTTGAACTCTGTGATTTGCATACACACAACACAAAGAAGTTACTGAGAAATCTTCTGTCTAGCATAATATGAAGAAATCCCGTTTCCAACGAAGGCCTGAAAGAGGTCCGAATATCCACTGGCAGGCTTCACAAACAGAGTGTTTCCTAACTGCTCTGTGAAAAGAAAGGTTAAACTCTGTGAGTTGAACGCACACATCACAAAGGAGTTTCTGAGAATCATTCTGTCTAGTTTTTATACGAAGCATATTTCCTTTTCTACCATTGACCTCAAAGCGGCTGAAATCTCCACTTGCAAATTCCAGAAAAACAGTGTTTCAAATCTGCTCTGTGTAAAGGATCGTTCAACTCTGTGAGTTGAATACACACAACACAAGGAAAGTTACTGAGAATTCATCTGTCTAGCATAATATGAAGAAATCCCGTTTCCAACGAAGGCCTCAAAGAGGTCTGAATATCCACTTGCAGACTTTACAAACAGAGTGTTTCCTAACTGCTCTTTGAAAAGAAAGGTTAAACTCTGTGAGTTGAACGCACACATCACAAAACAGTTTCTGAGAATCATTCTGTCTAGTTTTTATACGAAGATATTTCCTTTTCTACCGTTGACCTCAAAGCGGATGAATTCTCCACTTACAAATTCCACCAAAAGAGTGTCTCAAATCTGCTCTGTGTAAAGAATCATTCAACTCTGTGAGTTGAATGCACACAACACAAGGAAGTTACTGGGAATTCCTCTGTCTAACCTTACATGAAAAAACCCGTTTCCAACGAAGGCCTCTAAGAGGCCAAGATATCCACTTGCAGACTTTACAAACAGAGTGTTTCCAAACTGCTGAATGAAAAGAAAAGTTAAACTCTGTGAGTTGAACGCACACATCACAGAGCAGTTTCTGAGAATGATTCTGTCGGGTTTTTATACGAAGATATTTCCTTTTCTGCCTTTGGCCTCAAAGCGCTTGAAGTCTCCACTTGCAAATTGCAGAAAAAGAGTGTTTCGAATCTGCTCTGTCTAAAGGAAGGTTCAACTCTGTCAGTTGAATACACACAACACAAGGAAGTTACTGAGATTTCTTCTGTCTAGCCTTACATGAAAAAAACCCGTTTCCAACGAAGGCCTCAAAGAGGTCAAAATATCCACGTGCAGACTTTCCAAACAGAGTGTTTCCAAACTGCTGAATGAAAAGAAAAGTTAAACTCTGTGAGTTGAACGCACACATCCCAGAGCAGTTTCTGAGAAAGATTCTGTCTAGTTTTTATAGGAAAATATTTCCTTTTCTGCTTTTGGCCTCAAAGCGCTTGAAATCTCCACTTGCAAATTCCACAAAAAGAGACTTTCAAATCTGCTCTGTCTAAAGGAAGGTTCAACTCTGTCAGTTGAATACACACAACACAAAGAAGTTACTAAGAATTCTTCCCTCTAGCATTATATGAAGAAATCCCGTTTCCAACGAAGGCATCTAAGAGGTCCAAATATCCACTTGCAGACTTTACAAACACAGGGTTTCCAGAATGCTGTATGAAAAGAAAGGTTAAACTCTGTGAGTTAAACACACACATCACTACGCAGTGTCTGGGAACGAGTTTGTCTTGTTTTTATACGAAGATATTTCCTTTTCTACCATTGGCGTCGAAGCGCTTGAAATCTCCACTTGCAAATTCCACAAAAAGAGTGTTTCAAATCTGCTCTGTCTAAGGGAAGGATGAACTCTGTGAGTTGCATACACACAACACAAAGTAGTTACTGAGAAATCTGTCTAGCATAATATGAAGAAATCCCGTTTCCAACGAAGGCCTCAAAGAGGTCCGAATATCCACTGGCAGGCTTCACAAACAGAGTGTTTCCTAACTGCTCTGTGAAAAGAAAGGTTAAACTCTGTGAGTTGAACGCACACATCACAAAGGAGTTTCTGAGAATCATTCTGTCTAGTTTTTATACGAAGATATTTCTTTTTCTACCATTGACCTCAAAGCGGCTGAAATCTCCACTTGCAAATTCCAGAAAAACAGTGTTTCAAATCTGCTCTGTGTAAAGGATCGTTCAACTCTGTGAGTTGAATAAACACAACACAAGGAAGTTACTGAGAATTCATCTGTCTAGCATAATATGAAGAAATCCCGTTTCCAACGAAGGCCTCAAAGAGGTCTGAATATCCTCTTGCAGACTTTACAAACAGAGTGTTTCCTAACTGCTCTTTGAAAAGAAAGGTTAAACTCTGTGAGTTGAACGCACACATCACAAAACAGTTTCTGAGAATCATTCTGTCTAGTTTTTATACGAAGATATTTCCTTTTCTACCGTTGACCTCAAAGCGGCTGAATTCTCCACCTACAAATTCCACCAAAAGAGTGTCTCAAATCTGCTCTGTGTAAAGACTCATTCAACTCTGTGAGTTGAATGCACACAACACAAGGAAGTTACTGGGAATTCCTCTGTCTATCCTTACATGAAAAAACCCGTTTCCAACGAAGGCCTCTAAGAGGCCAAGATATCCACTTGCAGACTTTACAAACAGAGTGTTTCCAAACTGCTGAATGAAAAGAAAAGTTAAACTCTGTGAGTTGAACGCACACATCACAGAGCAGTTTCTGAGAAAGATTCTGTCTAGTTTTTATAGGAAAATATTTCCTTTTCTGCTTTTGGCCTCAAAGCGCTTGAAATCTCCACTTGCAAATTCCACAAAAAGAGACTTTCAAATCTGCTCTGTCTAAAGGAAGGTTCAACTCTGTCAGTTGAATACACACAACACAAAGAAGTTACTAAGAATTCTTCCCTCTAGCATTATATGAAGAAATCCCGTTTCCAACGAAGGCATCTAAGAGGTCCAAATATGCACTTGCAGACTTTACAAACAGAGGGTTTCCAGAATGCCGTATGAAAAGAAAGGTTAAACTCTGTGAGTTAAACACACACATCACTACGCAGTGTCTGGGAACGAGTTTGTCTTGTTTTTATACGAAGATATTTCCTTTTCTACCATTGGCATCGAAGCGCTTGAAATCTCCACTTGCAAATTCCACAAAAAGAGTGTTTCAAATCTGCTCTGTCTAAAGGAAGGTTGAACTCTGTGAGTTGCATACACACAACACAAAGAAGTTACTGAGAAATCTTCTGAATAGCATAATATGAAGAAATCCCGTTTCCAACGAAGGCCTCAAAGAGGTCCGAATATCCACTGGCAGGCTTCACAAACAGAGTGTTTCCTAACTGCTCTGTGAAAAGAAAGGTTAAACTCTGTGAGTTGAACGCACACATCACAAAGGAGTTTCTGAGAATCATTCTGTCTAGTTTTTATACGAAGATATTTCCTTTTCTACCATTGACCTCAAAGCGGCTGAAATCTCCACTTGCAAATTCCAGAAAAGCAGTGTTTCAAATCTGCTCTGTGTAAAGGATCGTTCAACTCTGTGAGTTGAATACACACAACACAAGGAAGTTACTGAGAATTCATCTGTCTAGCATAATATGAAGAAATCCCGTTTCCAACGAAGGCCTCAAAGAGGTCTGAATATCCACTTGCAGACTTTACAAACAGAGTGTTTCCTAACTGCTCTTTGAAAAGAAAGGTTAAACTCTGTGAGTTGAACGCACACATCACAAAACAGTTTCTGAGAATCATTCTGTCTAGTTTTTATACGAAGATATTTCCTTTTCTACCGTTGACCTCAAAGCAGCTGAATTCTCCACTTACAAATTCCACCAAAAGAGTGTCTCAAATCTGCTCTGTGTAAAGAATCATTCAACTCTGTGAGTTGAATGCACACAACACAAGGAAGTTACTGGGAATTCCTCTGTCTAACCTTACATGAAAAAACCCGTTTCTAACGAAGGCCTCTAAGAGGCCAAGATATCCACTTGCAGACTTTACAAACAGAGTGTTTCCAAACTGCTGAATGAAAAGAAAAGTTAAACTCTGTGAGTTGAACGCACACATCACAGAGCAGTTTCTGAGAATGATTCTGTCGGGTTTTTATACGAAGATATTTCCTTTTCTGCCTTTGGCCTCAAAGCGCTTGAAGTCTCCACTTGCAAATTGCAGAAAAAGAGTGTTTCGAATCTGCTCTGTCTAAAGGAAGGTTCAACTCTGTCAGTTGAATACACACAACACAAGGAAGTTACTGAGATTTCTTCTGTCTAGCCTTACATGAAAAAAACCCGTTTCCAACGAAGGCCTCAAAGAGGTCAAAATATCCACGTGCAGACTTTCCAAACAGAGTGTTTCCAAACTGCTGAATGAAAAGAAAGTTAAACTCTGTGAGTTGAACACACACATCACAGAGCAGTTTCTGAGAATGATTCTGTCTAGTTTTTATAGGAAAATATTTCCTTTTCTGCTTTTGGCCTCAAAGCGCTTGAAATCTCCACTTGCAAATTCCACAAAAAGAGACTTTCAAATCTGCTCTGTCTAAAGGAAGGTTCAACTCTGTCAGTTGAATACACACAACACAAAGAAGTTACTAAGAATTCTTCCCTCTAGCATTATATGAAGAAATCCCGTTTCCAACGAAGGCATCTAAGAGGTCCAAATATCCACTTGCAGACTTTACAAACACAGGGTTTCCAGAATGCTGTATGAAAAGAAAGGTGAAACTCTGTGAGTTAAACACACACATCACTACGCAGTGTCTGGGAACGAGTTTGTCTTGTTTTTATACGAAGATATTTCCTTTTCTACCATTGGCATCGAAGCGCTTGAAATCTCCACTTGCAAATTCCACAAAAAGAGTGTTTCAAATCTGCTCTGTCTAAGGGAAGGTTGAACTCTGTGAGTTGCATACACACAACACAAAGAAGTTACTGAGAAATCTTCTGTCTAGCATAATATGAAGAAATCCCGTTTCCAACGAAGGCCTCAAAGAGGTCCGAATATCCACTGGCAGGCTTCACAAACAGAGTGTTTCCTAACTGCTCTGTGAAAAGAAAGGTTAAACCCTGTGAGTTGAACGCACACATCACAAAGGAGTTTCTGAGAATCATTCTGTCTAGTTTTTATACGAAGATATTTCCTTTTCTACCATTGACCTCAAAGCGGCTGAAATCTCCACTTGCAAATTCCAGAAAAACAGTGTTTCAAATCTGCTCTGTGTAAAGGATCGTTCAACTCTGTGAGTTGAATACACACAACACAAGGAAGTTACTGAGAATTCATCTGTCTAGCATAATATGAAGAAATCCCGTTTCCAACGAAGGCCTCAAAGAGGTCTGAATATCCACTTGCAGACTTTACAAACAGAGTGTTTCCTAACTGCTCTTTGAAAAGAAAGGTTAAACTCTGTGAGTTGAACGCACACATCACAAAACAGTTTCTGAGAATCATTCTGTCTAGTTTTTATACGAAGATATTTCCTTTTCTACCGTTGACCTCAAAGCAGCTGAATTCTCCACTTACAAATTCCACCAAAAGAGTGTCTCAAATCTGCTCTGTGTAAAGAATCATTCAACTCTGTGAGTTGAATGCACACAACACAAGGAAGTTACTGGGAATTCCTCTGTCTAACCTTACATGAAAAAACCCGTTTCCAACGAAGGCCTCTAAGAGGCCAAGATATCCACTTGCAGACTTTACAAACAGAGTGTTTCCAAACTGCTGAATGAAAAGAAAAGTTAAACTCTGTGAGTTGAACGCACACATCACAGAGCAGTTTCTGAGAATGATTCTGTCGGGTTTTTATACGAAGATATTTCCTTTTCTGCCTTTGGCCTCAAAGCGCTTGAAGTCTCCACTTGCAAATTGCAGAAAAAGAGTGTTTCGAATCTGCTCTGTCTAAAGGAAGGTTCAACTCTGTCAGTTGAATACACACAACACAAGGAAGTTACTGAGATTTCTTCTGTCTAGCCTTACATGAAAAAAACCCGTTTCCAACGAAGGCCTCAAAGAGGTCAAAATATCCACGTGCAGACTTTCCAAACAGAGTGTTTCCAAACTGCTGAATGAAAAGAAAAGTTAAACTCTGTGAGTTGAACGCACATATCCCAGAGCAGTTTCTGAGAAAGATTCTGTCGAGTTTTTATAGGAAAATATTTCCTTTTCTGCCTTTGGCCTCAAAGCGCTTGAAATCTCCACTTGCAAATTCCACAGAAAGAGACTTTCAAATCTGCTCTGTCTAAAGGAAGGTTCAACTCTGTCAGTTGAATACACACAACACAAAGAAGTTACTAAGAATTCTTCCCTCTAGCATTATATGAAGAAATCCCGTTTCCAACGAAGGCATCTAAGAGGTCCAAATATCCACTTGCAGACTTTACAAACACAGGGTTTCCAGAATGCTGTATGAAAAGAAAGGTGAAACTCTGTGAGTTAAACACACACATCACTACGCAGTGTCTGGGAACGAGTTTGTCTTGTTTTTATACGAAGATATTTCCTTTTCTACCATTGGCATCGAAGCGCTTGAAATCTCCACTTGCAAATTCCACAAAAAGAGTGTTTCAAATCTGCTCTCTCTAAAGGAAGGTTGAACTCTGTGAGTTGCATACACACAACACAAAGAAGTTACTGAGAAATCTTCTGTCTAGCATAATATGAAGAAATCCCGTTTCCAACGAAGGCCTCAAAGAGGTCCGAATATCCACTGGCAGGCTTCACAAACAGAGTGTTTCCTAACTGCTCTGTGAAAAGAAAGGTTAAACTCTGTGAGTTGAACGCACACATCACAAAGGAGTTTCTGAGAATCATTCTGTCTAGTTTTTATACGAAGATATTTCCTTTTCTACCGTTGACCTCAAAGCGGCTGAATTCTCCACTTACAAATTCCACCAAAAGAGTGTCTCAAATCTGCTCTGTGTAAAGAATCATTCAACTCTGTGAGTTGAATGCACACAACACAAGGAAGTTACTGGGAATTCCTCTGTCTAACCTTACATGAAAAAACCCGTTTCCAACGAAGGCCTCTAAGAGGCCAAGATATCCACTTGCAGACTTTACAAACAGAGTGTTTCCAAACTGCTGAATGAAAAGAAAAGTTAAACTCTGTGAGTTGAACGCACACATCACAGAGCAGTTTCTGAGAATGATTCTGTCGGGTTTTTATACGAAGATATTTCCTTTTCTGCCTTTGGCCTCAAAGCGCTTGAAGTCTCCACTTGCAAATTGCAGAAAAAGAGTGTTTCGAATCTGCTCTGTCTAAAGGAAGGTTCAACTCTGTCAGTTGAATACACACAACACAAGGAAGTTACTGAGATTTCTTCTGTCTAGCCTTACATGAAAAAAACCCGTTTCCAACGAAGGCCTCAAAGAGGTCAAAATATCCACGTGCAGACTTTCCAAACAGAGTGTTTCCAAACTGCTGAATGAAAAGAAAAGTTAAACTCTGTGAGTTGAACGCACACATCCCAGAGCAGTTTCTGAGAAAGATTCTGTCGAGTTTTTATAGGAAAATATTTCCTTTTCTGCTTTTGGCCTCAAAGCGCTTGAAATCTCCACTTGCAAATTCCACAAAAAGAGACTTTCAAATCTGCTCTGTCTAAAGGAAGGTTCAACTCTGTCAGTTGAATACACACAACACAAAGAAGTTACTAAGAATTCTTCCCTCTAGCATTATATGAAGAAATCCCGTTTCCAACGAAGGCATCTAAGAGGTCCAAATATCCACTTGCAGACTTTACAAACACAGGGTTTCCAGAATGCTGTATGAAAAGAAAGGTTAAACTCTGTGAGTTGAACGCACACATCACAAAGGAGTTTCTGAGAATCATTCTGTCTAGTTTTTATACGAAGATATTTCCTTTTCTACCATTGACCTCAAAGCGGCTGAAATCTCCACTTGCAAATTCCAGAAAAACAGTGTTTCAAATCTGCTCTGTGTAAAGGATCGTTCAACTCTGTGAGTTGAATACACACAACACAAGGAAGTTACTGAGAATTCATCTGTCTAGCATAATATGAAGAAATCCCGTTTCCAACGAAGGCCTCAAAGAGGTCTGAATATCCACTTGCAGACTTTACAAACAGAGTGTTTCCTAACTGCTCTTTGAAAAGAAAGGTTAAACTCTGTGAGTTGAAAGCACACATCACAAAACAGTTTCTGAGAATCATTCTGTCTAGTTTTTATATGAAGATATTTCCTTTTCTACCGTTGACCTCAAAGCGGCTGAATTCTCCACTTACAAATTCCACCAAAAGAGTGTCTCAAATCTGCTCTGTGTAAAGAATCATTCAACTCTGTGAGTTGAATGCACACAACACAAGGAAGTTACTGGGAATTCCTCTGTCTATCCTTACATGAAAAAACCCGCTTCCAACGAAGGCCTCTAAGAGGCCAAGATATCCACTTGCAGACTTTACAAACAGAGTGTTTCCAAACTGCTGAATGAAAAGAAAAGTTAAACTCTGTGAGTTGAACGCACACATCACAGAGCAGTTTCTGAGAATGATTCTGTCGGGTTTTTATACGAAGATATTTCCTTTTCTGCCTTTGGCCTCAAAGCGCTTGAAGTCTCCACTTGCAAATTGCAGAAAAAGAGTGTTTCGAATCTGCTCTGTCTAAAGGAAGGTTCAACTCTGTCAGTTGAATACACACAACACAAGGGAATTTACTGAGATTTCTTCTGTCTAGCGTTACATGAAAAAAACCCGTTTCCAACGAAGGCCTCAAAGAGGTCAAAATATCCACGTGCAGACTTTCCAAACAGAGTGTTTCCAAACTGCTGAATGAAAAGAAAAGTTAAACTCTGTGAGTTGAACGCACACATCCCAGAGCAGTTTCTGAGAAAGATTCTGTCTAGTTTTTATAGGAAAATATTTCCTTTTCTGCTTTTGGCCTCAAAGCGCTTGAAATCTCCACTTGCAAATTCCACAAAAAGAGACTTTCAAATCTGCTCTGTCTAAAGGAAGGTTCAACTCTGTCAGTTGAATACACACAACACAAAGAAGTTACTAAGAATTCTTCCCTCTAGCATTATATGAAGAAATCCCGTTTCCAACGAAGGCATCTAAGAGGTCCAAATATCCACTTGCAGACTTTACAAACAGAGGGTTTCCAGAATGCTGTATGAAGAGAAAGGTGAAACTCTGTGAGTTAAACACACACATCATTACGCAGTGTCTTGGAACGAGTTTGTCTTGTTTTTATACGAAGATATTTCCTTTTCTACCATTGGCATCGAAGCGCTTGAAATCTCCACTTGCAAATTCCACAAAAAGAGGGTTTCAAATCTGCTCTGTCTAAAGGAAGGTTGAACTCTGTGAGTTGCATACACACAACACAAAGAAGTTACTGAGAAATTCTTCTGTCAAGCATAATATGAAGAAATCCCGTTTCCAACGAAGGCCTCAAAGAGGTCCGAATATCCACTGGCAGAGTTCCCAAACAGAGTGTTTCCTAACTGCTCTATGAAAAGAAAGGTTAAACTCTGTGAGTTGAACGCACACATCACAAAACATTTTCTGAGAATCATTCTGTCTAGTTTTTATACGAAGATATTTCCTTTTCTAACATTGACCTCAAAGCGGCTGAAATCTCCACTTGCAAATTCCAGAAAAAGAGTGTTTCAAATCTGCTCTGTGTAAAGGATTGTTCAACTCTGTGAGTTGAATACACACACCACAAGGAAGTTACTGAGATTTCTTCTGTCTAGCATAATGTGAAGAAATCCCGTTTCCAACGAAGGCCTCAAAGAGGACTGAATATCCACTTGCAGACTTTACAAACAGAGTGTTTCCTAACTGCTCTGTGAAAAGAAAGGTTAAAATCTGTGAGTTGAACCCACACATCACAAAACAGTTTCTGAGAATCATTCAGTCTAGTTTTTATACGAAGATATTTCCTTTTCTACCGTTGACCTCAAAGCGGCTGAATTCTCCACTTACAAATTCCACCCAAAGAGTGTCTCAAATCTGCTCTGTGTAAAGAATCATTCAACTCTGTGAGTTGAATGCACACAACACAAGGAAGTTACTGGGAATTCCTCTGTCTAACCTTACATGAAAAAACCCGTTTCCAACGAAGGCCTCTAAGAGGCCAAGATATCCACTTGCAGACTTTACAAACAGAGTGTTTCCAAACTGCTGAATGAAAAGAAAAGTTAAACTCTGTGAGTTGAACGCACACATCACAGAGCAGTTTCTGAGAATGATTCTGTCGGGTTTTTATACGAAGATATTTCCTTTTCTGCCTTTGGCCTCAAAGCGCTTGAAGTCTCCACTTGCAAATTGCAGAAAAAGAGTGTTTCGAATCTGCTCTGTCTAAAGGAAGGTTCAACTCTGTCAGTTGAATACACACAACACAAAGAAGTTACTAAGAATTCTTCCCTCTAGCATTATATGAAGAAATCCCGTTTCCAACGAAGGCATCTAAGAAGTCCAAATATCCACTTGCAGACTTTACAAACAGAGGGTTTCCAGAATGCTGTATGAAAAGAAAGGTTAAACTCTGTGAGTTAAACACACACATCACTACGCAGTGTCTGGGAACGAGTTTGTCTTGTTTTTATACGAAGATATTTCCCTTTCTACCATTGGCATCGAAGCGCTTGAAATCTCCACTTGCAAATTCCACAAAAAGAGTGTTTCAAATCTGCTCTGTCTAAAGGAAGGTTGAACTCTGTGAGTTGCATACACACAACACAAAGAAGTTACTGAGAAATCTTTTGTCTAGCATAATATGAAGAAATCCCGTTTCCAACGAAGGCCTGAAAGAGGTCCGAATATCCACTGGCAGGCTTCACAAACAGAGTGTTTCCTAACTGCTCTGTGAAAAGAAAGGTTAAACTCTGTGAGTTGAACGCACACATCACAAAGGAGTTTCTGAGAATCATTCTGTCTAGTTTTTATACGAAGATATTTCCTTTTCTACCATTGACCTCAAAGCGGCTGAAATCTCCACTTGCAAATTCCAGAAAAACAGTGTTTCAAATCTGCTCTGTGTAAAGGATCGTTCAACTCTGTGAGTTGAATACACACAACACAAGTAAGTTACTGAGAATTCATCTGTCTAGCATAATATGAAGAAATCCCGTTTCCAACGAAGGCCTCAAAGAGGTCTGAATATCCACTTGCAGACTTTACAAACAGAGTGTTTCCTAACTGCTCTTTGAAAAGAAAGGTTAAACTCTGTGAGTTGAACGCACACATCACAAAACAGTTTCTGAGAATCATTCTGTCTAGTTTTTATACGAAGATATTTCCTTTTCTACCGTTGACCTCAAAGCAGCTGAATTCTCCACTTACAAATTCCACCAAAAGAGTGTCTCAAATCTGCTCTGTGTAAAGAATCATTCAACTCTGTGAGTTGAGTGCACACAACACAAGGAAGTTACTGGGAATTCCTCTGTCTATCCTTACATGAAAAAACCCGTTTCCAACGAAGGCCTCTAAGAGGCCAAGATATCCACTTGCAGACTTTACAAACAGAGTGTTTCCAAACTGCTGAATGAAAAGAAAAGTTAAACTCTGTGAGTTGAACGCACACATCACAGAGCAGTTTCTGAGAATGATTCTGTCGGGTTTTTATACGAAGATATTTCCTTTTCTGCCTTTGGCCTCAAAGCGCTTGAAGTCTCCACTTGCAAATTGCAGAAAAAGAGTGTTTCGAATCTGCTCTGTCTAAAGGAAGGTTCAACTCTGTCAGTTGAATACACACAACACAAGGAAGTTACTGAGATTTCTTCTGTCTAGCCTTACATGAAAAAAACCCGTTTCCAACGAAGGCCTCAAAGAGGTCAAAATATCCACGTGCAGACTTTCCAAACAGAGTGTTTCCAAACTGCTGAATGAAAAGAAAAGTTAAACTCTGTGAGTTGAACGCACACATCCCAGAGCAGTTTCTGAGAAAGATTCTGTCGAGTTTTTATAGGAAAATATTTCCTTTTCTGCTTTTGGCCTCAAAGCGCTTGAAATCTCCACTTGCAAATTCCACAAAAAGAGACTTTCAAATCTGCTCTGTCTAAAGGAAGGTTCAACTCTGTCAGTTGAATACACACAACACAAAGAAGTTACTAAGAATTCTTCCCTCTAGCATTATATGAAGAAATCCCGTTTCCAACGAAGGCATCTAAGAGGTCCAAATATCCACTTGCAGACTTTACAAACACAGGGTTTCCAGAATGCTGTATGAAAAGAAAGGTTAAACTCTGTGAGTTAAACACACACATCACTACGCAGTGTCTGGGAACGAGTTTGTCTTGTTTTTATACGAAGATATTTCCTTTTCTACCATTGGCATCGAAGCGCTTGAAATCTCCACTTGCAAATTCCACAAAAAGAGTGTTTCAAATCTGCTCTTTCTAAAGGAAGGTTGAACTCTGTGAGTTGCATACACACAACACAAAGAAGTTACTGAGAAATCTTCTGTCTAGCATAATATGAAGAAATCCCGTTTCCAACGAAGGCCTCAAAGAGGTCCGAATATCCACTGGCAGGCTTCACAAACAGAGTGTTTCCTAACTGCTCTGTGAAAAGAAAGGTTAAACTCTGTGAGTTGAACGCACACATCACAAAGGAGTTTCTGAGAATCATTCTGTCTAGTTTTTATACGAAGATATTTCCTTTTCTACCATTGACCTCAAAGCGGCTGAAATCTCCACTTGCATATTCCAGAAAAACAGTGTTTCAAATCTGCTCTGTGTAAAGGATCGTTCAACTCTGTGAGTTGAATACACACAACACAAGGAAGTTACTGAGAATTCATCTGTCTAGCATAATATGAAGAAATCCCGTTTCCAACGAAGGCCTCAAAGAGGTCTGAATATCCACTTGCAGACTTTACAAACAGAGTGTTTCCTAACTGCTCTTTGAAAAGAAAGGTTAAACTCTGTGAGTTGAACGCACACATCACAAAACAGTTTCTGAGAATCATTCTGTCTAGTTTTTATACGAAGATATTTCCTTTTCTACCGTTGACCTCAAAGCGGCTGAATTCTCCACTTACAAATTCCACCAAAAGAGTGTCTCAAATCTGCTCTGTGTAAAGAATCATTCAACTCTGTGAGTTGAATGCACACAACACAAGGAAGTTACTGGGAATTCCTCTGTCTATCCTTACATGAAAAAACCCGCTTCCAACGAAGGCCTCTAAGAGGCCAAGATATCCACTTGCAGACTTTACAAACAGAGTGTTTCCAAACTGCTGAATGAAAAGAAAAGTTAAACTCTGTGAGTTGAACGCACACATCACAGAGCAGTTTCTGAGAATGATTCTGTCGGGTTTTTATACGAAGATATTTCCTTTTCTGCCTTTGGCCTCAAAGCACTTGAAGTCTCCACTTGCAAATTGCAGAAAAAGAGTGTTTCGAATCTGCTCTGTCTAAAGGAAGGTTCAACTCTGTCAGTTGAATACACACAACACAAGGAAGTTACTGAGATTTCTTCTGTCTAGCCTTACATGAAAAAACCCGTTTCCAACGAAGGCCTCAAAGAGGTCAAAATATCCACGTGCAGACTTTCCAAACAGAGTGTTTCCAAACTGCTGAATGAAAAGAAAGTTAAACTCTGTGAGTTGAACACACACATCACAGAGCAGTTTCTGAGAATGATCTGTCGAGTTTTTATAGGAAAATATTTCCTTTTCTGCTTTTGGCCTCAAAGCGCTTGAAATCTCCACTTGCAAATTCCACAAAAAGAGACTTTCAAATCTGCTCTGTCTAAAGGAAGGTTCAACTCTGTCAGTTGAATACACACAACACAAAGAAGTTACTAAGAATTCTTCCCTCTAGCATTATATGAAGAAATCCCGTTTCCAACGAAGGCATCTAAGAGGTCCAAATATCCACTTGCAGACTTTACAAACACAGGGTTTCCAGAATGCTGTATGAAAAGAAAGGTTAAACTCTGTGAGTTAAACACACACATCACTACGCAGTGTCTGGGAACGAGTTTGTCTTGTTTTTATACGAAGATATTTCCTTTTCTACCATTGGCATCGAAGCGCTTGAAATCTCCACTTGCAAATTCCACAAAAAGAGTGTTTCAAATCTGCTCTCTCTAAAGGAAGGTTGAACTCTGTGAGTTGCATACACACAACACAAAGAAGTTACTGAGAAATCTTCTGTCTAGCATAATATGAAGAAATCCCGTTTCCAACGAAGGCCTCAAAGAGGTCCGAATATCCACTGGCAGGCTTCACAAACAGAGTGTTTCCTAACTGCTCTGTGAAAAGAAAGGTTAAACTCTGTGAGTTGAACGCACACATCACAAAGGAGTTTCTGAGAATCATTCTGTCTAGTTTTTATACGAAGATATTTCCTTTTCTACCATTGACCTCAAAGCGGCTGAAATCTCCACTTGCAAATTCCAGAAAAACAGTGTTTCAAATCTGCTCTGTGTAAAGGATCGTTCAACTCTGTGAGTTGAATACACACAACACAAGGAAGTTACTGAGAATTCATCTGTCTAGCATAATATGAAGAAATCCCGTTTCCAACGAAGGCCTCAAAGAGGTCTGAATATCCACTTGCAGACTTTACAAACAGAGTGTTTCCTAACTGCTCTTTGAAAAGAAAGGTTAAACTCTGTGAGTTGAACGCACACATCACAAAACAGTTTCTGAGAATCATTCTGTCTAGTTTTTATACGAAGATATTTCCTTTTCTACCGTTGACCTCAAAGCGGCTGAATTCTCCACTTACAAATTCCACCAAAAGAGTGTCTCAAATCTGCTCTGTGTAAAGAATCATTCAACTCTGTGAGTTGAATGCACACAACACAAGGAAGTTACTGGGAATTCCTCTGTCTAACCTTACATGAAAAAACCCGTTTCCAACGAAGGCCTCTAAGAGGCCAAGATATCCACTTGCAGACTTTACAAACAGAGTGTTTCCAAACTGCTGAATGAAAAGAAAAGTTAAACTCTGTGAGTTGAACGCACACATCACAGAGCAGTTTCTGAGAATGATTCTGTCGGGTTTTTATACGAAGATATTTCCTTTTCTGCCTTTGGCCTCAAAGCGCTTGAA
This sequence comes from Homo sapiens, assembly GCF_000001405.40. Taxonomy (NCBI): domain Eukaryota; kingdom Metazoa; phylum Chordata; class Mammalia; order Primates; family Hominidae; genus Homo; species Homo sapiens. The sequence goes on along the minus strand of NC_000016.10, from coordinate 37,910,120 downwards.
GTCTCCACTTGCAAATTGCAGAAAAACAGTGTTTCGAATCTGCTCTGTCTAAAGGAAGGTTCAACTCTGTCAGTTGAATACACACAACACAAGGAAGTTACTGAGATTTCTTCTGTCTAGCCTTACATGAAAAAAACCCGTTTCCAACGAAGGCCTCAAAGAGGTCAAAATATCCACGTGCAGACTTTCCAAACAGAGTGTTTCCAAACTGCTGAATGAAAAGAAAAGTTAAACTCTGTGAGTTGAACGCACACATCCCAGAGCAGTTTCTGAGAAAGATTCTGTCGAGTTTTTATAGGAAAATATTTCCTTTTCTGCTTTTGGCCTCAAAGCGCTTGAAATCTCCACTTGCAAATTCCACAAAAAGAGACTTTCAAATCTGCTGTGTCTAAAGGAAGGTTCAACTCTGTCAGTTGAATACACACAACACAAAGAAGTTACTAAGAATTCTTCCCTCTAGCATTATATGAAGAAATCCCGTTTGCAACGAAGGCATCTAAGAGGTCCAAATATCCACTTGCAGACTTTACAAACAGAGGGTTTCCAGAATGCTGTATGAAAAGAAAGGTGAAACTCTGTGAGTTAAACACACACATCACTACGCAGTGTCTGGGAACGAGTTTGTCTTGTTTTTATACGAAGATATTTCCTTTTCTACCATTGGCATCGAAGCGCTTGAAATCTCCACTTGCAAATTCCACAAAAAGAGTGTTTCAAATCTGCTCTGTCTAAAGGAAGGTTGAACTCTGTGAGTTGCATACACACAACACAAAGAAGTTACTGAGAAATCTTCTGTCTAGCATAATATGAAGAAATCCCGTTTCCAACGAAGGCCTCAAAGAGGTCCGAATATCCACTGGCAGGCTTCACAAACAGAGTGTTTCCTAACTGCTCTGTGAAAAGAAAGGTTAAACTCTGTGAGTTGAACGCACACATCACAAAGGAGTTTCTGAGAATCATTCTGTCTAGTTTTTATATGAAGATATTTCTTTTTCTACCATTGACCACAAAGCGGCTGAAATCTCCACTTGCAAATTCCAGAAAAACAGTGTTTCAAATCTGCTCTGTGTAAAGGATCGTTCAACTCTGTGAGTTGAATACACACAACACAAGGAAGTTACTGAGAATTCATCTGTCTAGCATAATATGAAGAAATCCCGTTTCCAACGAAGGCCTCAAAGAGGTCTGAATATCCACTTGCAGACTTTACAAACAGAGTGTTTCCTAACTGCTCTTTGAAAAGAAAGGTTAAACTCTGTGAGTTGAACGCACACATCACAAAACAGTTTCTGAGAATCATTCTGTCTAGTTTTTATACGAAGGTATTTCCTTTTCTACCGTTGACCTCAAAGCGGCTGAATTCTCCACTTACAAATTCCACCCAAAGAGTGTCTCAAATCTGCTCTGTGTAAAGAATCATTCAACTCTGTGAGTTGAATGCACACAACACAAGGGAAGTTACTGGGAATTCCTCTGTCTAACCTTACATGAAAAAACCCGTTTCCAACGAAGGCCTCTAAGAGGCCAAGATATCCACTTGCAGACTTTACAAACAGAGTGTTTCCAAACTGCTGAATGAAAAGAAAAGTTAAACTCTGTGAGTTGAACGCACACATCACAGAGCAGTTTCTGAGAATGATTCTGTCGGGTTTTTATACGAAGATATTTCCTTTTCTGCCTTTGGCCTCAAAGCGCTTGAAGTCTCCACTTGCAAATTGCAGAAAAAGAGTGTTTCGAATCTGCTCTGTCTAAAGGAAGGTTCAACTCTGTCAGTTGAATACACACAACACAAGGAAGTTACTGAGATTTCTTCTGTCTAGCCTTACATGAAAAAACCCGTTTCCAACGAAGGCCTCAAAGAGGTCAAAATATCCACGTGCAGACTTTCCAAACAGAGTGTTTCCAAACTGCTGAATGGAAAGAATAGTTAAACTCTGTGAGTTGAACGCACACATCCCAGAGCAGTTTCTGAGAAAGATTCTGTCTAGTTTTTATAGGAAAATATTTCCTTTTCTGCTTTTGGCCTCAAAGCGCTTGAAATCTCCACTTGCAAATTCCACAAAAAGAGACTTTCAAATCTGCTCTGTCTAAAGGAAGGTTCAACTCTGTCAGTTGAATACACACAACAGAAAAAAGTTACTAAGAATTCTTCCCTCTAGCATTATATGAAGAAATCCCGTTTCCAACCGAAGGCATCTAAGAGGTCCAAATATCCACTTGCAGACTTTACAAACACAGGGTTTCCAGAATGCTGTATGAAAAGAAAGGTTAAACTCTGTGAGTTAAACACACACATCACTACGCAGTGTCTGGGAACGAGTTTGTCTTGTTTTTATGCGAAGATATTTCCTTTTCTACCATTGGCATCGAAGCGCTTGAAATCTCCACTTGCAAATTCCACAAAAAGAGTGTTTCAAATCTGCTCTGTCTAAAGGAAGGTTGAACTCTGTGAGTTGCATACACACAACACAAAGAAGTTACTGAGAAATCTTCTGTCTAGCATAATATGAAGAAATCCCGTTTCCAACGAAGGCCTCAAAGAGGTCCGAATATCCACTGGCAGGCTTCACAAACAGAGTGTTTCCTAACTGCTCTGTGAAAAGAAAGGTTAAACTCTGTGAGTTGAACGCACACATCACAAAGGAGTTTCTGAGAATCATTCTGTCTAGTTTTTATACGAAGATATTTCCTTTTCTACCATTGACCTCAAAGGGGCTGAAATCTCCACTTGCAAATTCCAGAAAAACAGTGTTTCAAATCTGCTCTGTGTAAAGGATCGTTTAACTCTGTGAGTTGAATACACACAACACAAGGAAGTTACTGAGAATTCATCTGTCTAGCATAATATGAAGAAATCCCGTTTCCAACGAAGGCCTCAAAGAGGTCTGAATATCCACTTGCAGACTTTACAAACAGAGTGTTTCCTAACTGCTCTTTGAAAAGAAAGGTTAAACTCTGTGAGTTGAACGCACACATCACAAAACAGTTTCTGAGAATCATTCTGTCTAGTTTTTATACGAAGATATTTCCTTTTCTACCGTTGACATCAAAGCGGCTGAATTCTCCACTTACAAATTCCACCAAAAGAGTGTCTCAAATCTGCTCTGTGTAAAGAATCATTCAACTCTGTGAGTTGAATGCACACAACACAAGGAAGTTAGTGGGGAATTCCTCTGTCTAACCTTACATGAAAAAACCCGTTTCCAACGAAGGCCTCTAAGAGGCCAAGATATCCACTTGCAGACTTTACAAACAGAGTGTTTCCAAACTGCTGAATGAAAAGAAAAGTTAAACTCTGTGAGTTGAACGCACACATCACAGAGCAGTTTCTGAGAATGATTCTGTCGGGTTTTTATACGAAGATATTTCCTTTTCTGCCTTTGGCCTCAAAGCGCTTGAAGTCTCCACTTGCAAATTGCAGAAAAAGAGTGTTTCGAATCTGCTCTGTCTAAAGGAAGGTTCAACTCTGTCAGTTGAATACACACAACACAAGGAAGTTACTGAGATTTCTTCTGTCTAGCCTTACATGAAAAAAACCCGTTTCCAACGAAGGCCTCAAAGAGGTCACAATATCCACGTGCAGACTTTCCAAACAGAGTGTTTCCAAACTGCTGAATGAAAAGAAAAGTTAAACTCTGTGAGTTGAACGCACACATCCCAGAGCAGTTTCTGAGAAAGATTCTGTCTAGTTTTTATAGGAAAATATTTCCTTTTCTGCTTTTGGCCTCAAAGCGCTTGAAATCTCCACTTGCAAATTCCACAAAAAGAGACTTTCAAATCTGCTCTGTCTAAAGGAAGGTTCAACTCTGTCAGTTGAATACACACAACACAAAGAAGTTACTAAGAATTCTTCCCTCTAGCATTATACGAAGAAATCCCGTTTCCAACGAAGGCATCTAAGAGGTCCAAATATCCACTTGCAGACTTTACAAACAGAGGGTTTCCAGAATGCTGTATGAAAAGAAAGGTTAAACTCAGTGAGTTAAACACACACATCACTACGCAGTGTCTGGGAACGAGTTTGTCTTGTTTTTCTACGAAGATATTTCCTTTTCTACCATTGGCATCGAAGCGCTTGAAATCTCCACTTGCAAATTCCACAAAAAGAGTGTTTCAAATCTGCTCTGTCTAAAGGAAGGTTGAACTCTGTGAGTTGCATACACACAACACAAAGAAGTTACTGAGAAGTCTTCTGTCTATCATAATATGAAGAAATCCCGTTTCCAACGAAGGCCTCAAAGAGGTCCGAATATCCACTGGCAGGCTTCACAAACAGAGTGTTTCCTAACTGCTCTGTGAAAAGAAAGGTTAAACTCTGTGAGTTGAACGCACACATCACAAAGGAGTTTCTGAGAATCATTCTGTCTAGTTTTTATACGAAGATATTTCCTTTTCTACCATTGACCTCAAAGCGGCTGAAATCTCCACTTGCAAATTCCAGAAAAACAGTGTTTCAAATCTGCTCTGTGTAAAGGATCGTTCAACTCTGTGAGTTGAATACACACAACACAAGGAAGTTACTGAGAATTCATCTGTCTAGCATAATATGAAGAAATCCCGTTTCCAACGAAGGCTTCAAAGAGGTCTGAATATCCACTTGCAGACTTTACAAACAGAGTGTTTCCTAACTGCTCTTTGAAAAGAAAGGTTAAACTCTGTGAGTTGAACGCACACATCACAAAACAGTTTCTGAGAATCATTCTGTCTAGTTTTTATACGAAGATATTTCCTTTTCTACCGTTGACCTCAAAGCGGCTGAATTCTCCACTTACAAATTCCACCAAAAGAGTGTCTCAAATCTGCTCTGTGTAAAGAATCATTCAACTCTGTGAGTTGAATGCACACAACACAAGGAAGTTACTGGGAATTCCTCTGTCTAACCTTACATGAAAAAACCCGTTTCCAACGAAGGCCTCTAATTAGGCCAAGATATCCACTTGCAGACTTTACAAACAGAGTGTTTCCAAACTGCTGAATGAAAAGAAAAGTTAAACTCTGTGAGTTGAACGCACACATCACAGAGCAGTTTCTGAGAATGATTCTGTCGGGTTTTTATACGAAGATATTTCCTTTTCTGCCTTTGGCCTCAAAGCGCTTGAAGTCTCCACTTGCAAATTGCAGAAAAAGAGTGTTTCGAATCTGCTCTGTCTAAAGGAAGGTTCAACTCTGTCAGTTGAATACACACAACACAAGGAAGTTACTGAGATTTCTTCTGTCTAGCCTTACATGAAAAAAACCCGTTTCCAAAGAAGGCCTCAAAGAGGTCAAAATATCCACGTGCAGACTTCCAAACAGAGTGTTTCCAAACTGCTGAATGAAAAGAAAAGTTAAACTCTGTGAGTTGAACGCACACATCCCAGAGCAGTTTCTGAGAAAGATTCTGTCGAGTTTTTATAGGAAAATATTTCCTTTTCTGCTTTCGGCCTCAAAGCGCTTGAAATCTCCACTTGCAAATTCCACAAAAAGAGACTTTCAAATCTGCTCTGTCTAAAGGAAGGTTCAACTCTGTCAGTTGAATACACACAACACAAAGAAGTTACTAAGAATTCTTCCCTCTAGCATTATATGAAGAAATCCCGTTTCCAACGAAGGCATCTAAGAGGTCCAAATATCCACTTGCAGACTTTACAAACACAGGGTTTCCAGAATGCTGTATGAAAAGAAAGGTTAAACTCTGTGAGTTAAACACACACATCACTACGCAGTGTCTGGGAACGAGTTTGTCTTGTTTTTATACGAAGATATTTCCTTTTCTACCATTGGCATCGAAGCGCTTGAAATCTCCACTTGCAAATTCCACAAAAAGAGTGTTTCAAATCTGCTCTGTCTAAAGGAAGGTTGAACTCTGTGAGTTGCATACACACAACACAAAGAAGTTACTGAGAAATCTTCTGTCTAGCATAATATGAAGAAATCCCGTTTCCAACGAAGGCCTCAAAGAGGTCCGAATATCCACTGGCAGGCTTCACAAACAGAGTGTTTCCTAACTGCTCTGTGAAAAGAAAGGTTAAACTCTGTGAGTTGAACGCACACATCACAAAGGAGTTTCTGAGAATCATTCTGTCTAGTTTTTATACGAAGATATTTCCTTTTCTACCATTGACCTCAAAGCGGCTGAAATCTCCACTTGCAAATTCCAGAAAAACAGTGTTTCAAATCTGCTCTGTGTAAAGGATCGTTCAACTCTGTGAGTTGAATACACACAACACAAGGAAGTTACTGAGAATTCATCTGTCTAGCATAATATGAAGAAATCCCGTTTCCAACGAAGGCCTCAAAGAGGTCTGAATATCCACTTGCAGACTTTACAAACAGAGTGTTTCCTAACTGCTCTTTGAAAAGAAAGGTTAAACTCTGTGAGTTGAACGCACACATCACAAAACAGTTTCTGAGAATCATTCTGTCTAGTTTTTATACGAAGATATTTCCTTTTCTACCGTTGACCTCAAAGCGGCTGAATTCTCCACTTACAAATTCCACCAAAAGAGTGTCTCAAATCTGCTCTGTGTAAAGAATCATTCAACTCTGTGAGTTGAATGCACACAACACAAGGAAGTTACTGGGAATTCCTCTGTCTATCCTTACATGAGAAAACCCGTTTCCAACAAAGGCCTCTAAGAGGCCAAGATATCCACTTGCAGACTTTACAAACAGAGTGTTTCCAAACTGCTGAATGAAAAGAAAAGTTAAACTCTGTGAGTTGAACGCACACATCACAGAGCAGTTTCTGAGAATGATTCTGTCGGGTTTTTATACGAAGATATTTCCTTTTCTGCCTTTGGCCTCAAAGCGCTTGAAGTCTCCACTTGCAAATTGCAGAAAAAGAGTGTTTCGAATCTGCTCTGTCTAAAGGAAGGTTCAACTCTGTCAGTTGAATACACACAACACAAGGAAGTTACTGAGATTTCTTCTGTCTAGCCTTACATGAAAAAAACCCGTTTCCAACGAAGGCCTCAAAGAGGTCAAAATATCCACGTGCAGACTTTCCAAACAGAGTGTTTCCAAACTGCTGAATGAAAAGAAAGTTAAACTCTGTGAGTTGAACACACACATCCCAGAGCAGTTTCTGAGAAAGATTCTGTCTAGTTTTTATAGGAAAATATTTCCTTTTCTGCTTTTGGCCTCAAAGCGCTTGAAATCTCCACTTGCAAATTCCACAAAAAGAGACTTTCAAATCTGCTCTGTCTAAAGGAAGGTTCAACTCTGTCAGTTGAATACACACAACACAAAGAAGTTACTAAGAATTCTTCCCTCTAGCATTATATGAAGAAATCCCGTTTCCAACGAAGGCATCTAAGAGGTCCAAATATCCACTTGCAGACTTTACAAACACAGGGTTTCCAGAATGCTGTATGAAAAGAAAGGTTAAACTCTGTGAGTTGAACGCACACATCACAAAGGAGTTTCTGAGAATCATTCTGTCTAGTTTTTATACGAAGATATTTCCTTTTCTACCATTGACCTCAAAGCGGCTGAAATCTCCACTTGCAAATTCCAGAAAAACAGTGTTTCAAATCTGCTCTGTGTAAAGGATCGTTTAACTCTGTGAGTTGAATACACACAACACAAGGAAGTTACTGAGAATTCATCTGTCTAGCATAATATGAAGAAATCCCGTTTCCAACGAAGGCCTCAAAGAGGTCTGAATATCCACTTGCAGACTTTACAAACAGAGTGTTTCCTAACTGCTCTTTGAAAAGAAAGGTTAAACTCTGTGAGTTGAATGCACACATCACAAAACACTTTCTGAGAATCATTCTGTCTAGTTTTTATACGAAGATATTTCCTTTTCTACCGTTGACCTCAAAGCGGCTGAATTCTCCACTTACAAATTCCACCAAAAGAGTGTCTCAAATCTGCTCTGTGTAAAGAATCATTCAACTCTGTGAGTTGAATGCACACAACACAAGGAAGTTACTGGGAATTCCTCTGTCTAACCTTACATGAAAAAACCCGCTTCCAACGAAGGCCTCTAAGAGGCCAAGATATCCACTTGCAGACTTTACAGAGTGTTTCCAAACTGCTGAATGAAAAGAAAAGTTAAACTCTGTGAGTTGAACGCACACATCACAGAGCAGTTTCTGAGAATGATTCTGTCGGGTTTTTATACGAAGATATTTCCTTTTCTGCCTTTGGCCTCAAAGCGCTTGAAGTCTCCACTTGCAAATTGCAGAAAAAGAGTGTTTCGAATCTGCTCTGTCTAAAGGAAGGTTCAACTCTGTCAGTTGAATACACACAACACAAGGAAGTTACTGAGATTTCTTCTGTCTAGCCTTACATGAAAAAAACCCGTTTCCAACGAAGGCCTCAAAGAGGTCAAAATATCCACGTGCAGACTTTCCAAACAGAGTGTTTCCAAACTGCTGAATGAAAAGAAAAGTTAAACTCTGTGAGTTGAACGCACACATCCCAGAGCAGTTTCTGAGAAAGATTCTGTCTAGTTTTTATAGGAAAATATTTCCTTTTCTGCTTTTGGCCTCAAAGCGCTTGAAATCTCCACTTGCAAATTCCACAAAAAGAGACTTTCAAATCTGCTCTGTCTAAAGGAAGGTTCAACTCTGTCAGTTGAATACACACAACACAAAGAAGTTACTAAGAATTCTTCCCTCTAGCATTATATGAAGAAATCCCGTTTCCAACGAAGGCATCTAAGAGGTCCAAATATCCACTTGCAGACTTTACAAACACAGGGTTTCCAGAATGCTGTATGAAAAGAAAGGTGAAACTCTGTGAGTTAAACACACACATCACTACGCAGTGTCTGGGAACGAGTTTGTCTTGTTTTTATATGAAGATATTTCCTTTTCTACCATTGGCATCGAAGCGCTTGAAATCTCCACTTGCAAATTCCACAAAAAGAGTGTTTCAAATCTGCTCTGTCTAAAGGAAGGTTGAACTCTGTGAGTTGCATACACACAACACAAAGAAGTTACTGAGAAATCTTCTGTCTAGCATAATATGAAGAAATCCCGTTTCCAACGAAGGCCTCAAAGAGGTCCGAATATCCACTGGCAGGCTTCACAAACAGAGTGTTTCCTAACTGCTCTGTGAAAAGAAAGGTTAAACTCTGTGAGTTGAACGCACACATCACAAAGGAGTTTCTGAGAATCATTCTGTCTAGTTTTTATACGAAGATATTTCCTTTTCTACCATTGACCTCAAAGCGGCTGAAATCTCCACTTGCAAATTCCAGAAAAACAGTGTTTCAAATCTGCTCTGTGTAAAGGATCGTTCAACTCTGTGAGTTGAATACACACAACACAAGGAAGTTACTGAGAATTCTCTGTCTAGCATAATATGAAGAAATCCCGTTTCCAACGAAGGCCTCAAAGAGGTCTGAATATCCACTTGCAGACTTTACAAACAGAGTGTTTCCTAACTGCTCTTTGAAAAGAAAGGTTAAACTCTGTGAGTTGAACGCACACATCACAAAACAGTTTCTGAGAATCATTCTGTCTAGTTTTTATACGAAGATATTTCCTTTTCTACCGTTGACCTCAAAGCAGCTGAATTCTCCACTTACAAATTCCACCCAAAGAGTGTCTCAAATCTGCTCTGTGTAAAGAATCATTCAACTCTGTGAGTTGAATGGACACAACACAAGGAAGTTACTGGGAATTCCTCTGTCTAACCTTACATGAAAAAACCCGTTTCCAACGAAGGCCTCTAAGAGGCCAAGATATCCACTTGCAGACTTTACAAACAGAGTGTTTCCAAACTGCTGAATGAAAAGAAAAGTTAAACTCTGTGAGTTGAACGCACACATCACAGAGCAGTTTCTGAGAATGATTCTGTCGGGTTTTTATACGAAGATATTTCCTTTTCTGCCTTTGGCCTCAAAGCGCTTGAAGTCTCCACTTGCAAATTGCAGAAAAAGAGTGTTTCGAATCTGCTCTGTCTAAAAGAAGGTTCAACTCTGTCAGTTGAATACACACAACACAAGGAAGTTACTGAGATTTCTTCTGTCTAGCCTTACATGAAAAAAACCCGTTTCCAAGGAAGGCCTCAAAGAGGTCAAAATATCCACGTGCAGACATTCCAAACAGAGTGTTTCCAAACTGCTGAATGAAAAGAAAAGTTAAACTCTGTGAGTTGAACGCACACATCCCAGAGCAGTTTCTGAGAAAGATTCTGTCTAGTTTTTATAGGAAAATATTTCCTTTTCTGCTTTTGGCCTCAAAGCGCTTGAAATCTCCACTTGCAAATTCCACAAAAAGAGACTTTCAAATCTGCTCTGTCTAAAGGAAGGTTCAACTCTGTCAGTTGAATACACACAACACAAAGAAGTTACTAAGAATTCTTCCCTCTAGCATTATATGAAGAAATCCCGTTTCCAACGAAGGCATCTAAGAGGTCCAAATATCCACTTGCAGACTTTACAAACAGAGGGTTTCCAGAATGCTGTATGAAAAGAAAGGTTAAACTCTGTGAGTTAAACACACACATCACTACGCAGTGTCTGGGAACGAGTTTGTCTTGTTTTTATACGAAGATATTTCCTTTTCTACCATTGGCATCGAAGCGCTTGAAATCTCCACTTGCAAATTCCACAAAAAGAGTGTTTCAAATCTGCGCTGTCTAAAGGAAGGTTGAACTCTGTGAGTTGTATACACACAACACAAAGAAGTTACTGAGAAATCTTCTGTCTAGCATAATATGAAGAAATCCCGTTTCCAACGAAGGCCTCAAAGAGGTCCGAATATCCACTGGCAGGCTTCACAAACAGAGTGTTTCCTAACTGCTCTGTGAAAAGAAAGGTTAAACTCTGTGAGTTGAACGCACACATCACAAAGGAGTTTCTGAGAATCATTCTGTCTAGTTTTTATACGAAGATATTTCCTTTTCTACCATTGACCTCAAAGCGGCTGAAATCTCCACTTGCAAATTCCAGAAAAACAGTGTTTCAAATCTGCTCTGTGTAAAGGATCGTTCAACTCTGTGAGTTGAATACACACAACACAAGGAAGTTACTGAGAATTCATCTGTCTAGCATAATATGAAGAAATCCCGTTTCCAACGAAGGCCTCAAAGAGGTCTGAATATCCACTTGCAGACTTTACAAACAGAGTGTTTCCTAACTGCTCTTTGAAAAGAAAGGTTAAACTCTGTGAGTTGAACGCACACATCACAAAACAGTTTCTGAGAATCATTCTGTCTAGTTTTTATACGAAGATATTTCCTTTTCTACCGTTGACCTCAAAGCGGCTGAATTCTCCACTTACAAATTCCACCAAAAGAGTGTCTCAAATCTGCTCTGTGTAAAGAATCATTCAACTCTGTGAGTTGAATGCACACAACACAAGGAAGTTACTGGGAATTCCTCTGTCTAACCTTACATGAAAAAACCCGTTTCCAACGAAGGCCTCTAAGAGGCCAAGATATCCACTTGCAGACTTTACAAACAGAGTGTTTCCAAACTGCTGAATGAAAAGAAAAGTTAAACTCTGTGAGTTGAACGCACACATCACAGAGCAGTTTCTGAGAATGATTCTGTCGGGTTTTTATACGAAGATATTTCCTTTTCTGCCTTTGGCCTCAAAGCGCTTGAAGTTTCCACTTGCAAATTGCAGAAAAAGAGTGTTTCGAATCTGCTCTGTCTAAAGGAAGGTTCAACTCTGTCAGTTGAATACACACAACACAAGGAAGTTACTGAGATTTCTTCTGTCTAGCCTTACATGAAAAAAACCCGTTTCCAACGAAGGCCTCAAAGAGGTCAAAATATCCACGTGCAGACTTTCCAAACAGGGTGTTTCCAAACTGCTGAATGAAAAGAAAAGTTAAACTCTGTGAGTTGAACGCACACATCCCAGAGCAGTTTCTGAGAAAGATTCTGTCTAGTTTTTATAGGAAAATATTTCCTTTTCTGCTTTTGGCCTCAAAGCGCTTGAAATCTCCACTTGCAAATTCCACAAAAAGAGACTTTCAAATCTGCTCTGTCTAAAGGAAGGTTCAACTCTGTCAGTTGAATACACACAACACAAAGAAGTTACTAAGAATTCTTCCCTCTAGCATTATATGAAGAAATCCCATTTCCAAAGAAGGCATCTAAGAGGTCCAAATATCCACTTGCAGACTTTACAAACACAGGGTTTCCAGAATGCTGTATGAAAAGAAAGGTTAAACTCTGTGAGTTAAACACACACATCACTACGCAGTGTCTGGGAACGAGTTTGTCTTGTTTTTATACGAAGATATTTCCTTTTCTACCATTGGCATCGAAGCGCTTGAAATCTCCACTTGCAAATTCCACAAAAAGAGTGTTTCAAATCTGCTCTGTCTAAAGGAAGGTTGAACTCTGTGAGTTTCATACACACAACCCAAAGAAGTTACTGAGAAATCTTCTGTCTAGCATAATATGAAGAAATCCCGTTTCCAACGAAGGCCTCAAAGAGGTCCGAATATCCACTGGCAGGCTTCACAGAGTGTTTCCTAACTGCTCTGTGAAAAGAAAGGTTAAACTCTGTGAGTTGAACGCACACATCACAAAGGAGTTTCTGAGAATCATTCTGTCCAGTTTTTATACGAAGATATTTCCTTTTCTACCATTGACCTCAAAGCGGCTGAAATCTCCACTTGCAAATTCCAGAAAAACAGTGTTTCAAATCTGCTCTGTGTAAAGGATCGTTCAACTCTGTGAGTTGAATACACACAACACAAGGAAGTTACTGAGAATTCATCTGTCTAGCATAATATGATGAAATCCCGTTTCCAACGAAGGCTTCAAAGAGGTCTGAATATCCACTTGCAGACTTTACAAACAGAGTGTTTCCTAACTGCTCTTTGAAAACAAAGGTTAAACTCTTTGAGTTGAACGCACACATCACAAAACAGTTTCTGAGAATCATTCTTTCTAGTTTTTATACGAAGATATTTCCTTTTCTACCGTTGACCTCAAAGCGGCTGAATTCTCCACTTACAAATTCCACCAAAAGTGTGTCTCAAATCTGCTCTGTGTAAAGAATCATTCAACTCTGTGAGTTGAATGCACACAACACAAGGAAGTTACTGGGAATTCCTCTGTCTAACCTTACATGAAAAAACGCCTTTCCAACGAAGGCCTCTAAGAGGCCAAGATATCCACTTGCAGACTTTACAAACAGAGTGTTTCCAAACTGCTGAATGAAAAGAAAAGTTAAACTCTGTGAGTTGAACGCACACATCACAGAGCAGTTTCTGAGAATGATTCTGTCGGGTTTTTATACGAAGATATTTCCTTTTCTGCCTTTGGCCTCAAAGCGCTTGAAGTCTCCACTTGCAAATTGCAGAAAAAGAGCGTTTCGAATCTGCTCTGTCTAAAGGAAGGTTCAACTCTGTCAGTTGAATACACACAACACAAGGAAGTTACTGAGATTTCTTCTGTCTAGCCTTACATGAAAAAAACCCGTTTCCAACGAAGGCCTCAAAGAGGTCAAAATATCCACGTGCAGACTTTCCAAACAGAGTGTTTCCAAACTGCTGAATGAAAAGAAAGTTAAACTCTGTGAGTTGAACACACACATCACAGAGCAGTTTCTGAGAATGATTCTGTCGAGGTTTTATAGGAAAATATTTCCTTTTCTGCTTTTGGCCTCAAAGCGCTTGAAATCTCCACTTGCAAATTCCACAAAAAGAGACTTTCAAATCTGCTCTGTCTAAAGGAAGGTTCAACTCTGTCAGTTGAATACACACAACACAAAGAAGTTACTAAGAATTCTTCCCTCTAGCATTATATGAAGAAATCCCGTTTGCAACGAAGGCATCTAAGAGGTCCAAATATCCACTTGCAGACTTTACAAACACAGGGTTTCCAGAATGCTGTATGAAAAGAAAGGTGAAACTCTGTGAGTTAAACACACACATCACTACGCAGTGTCTGGGAACGAGTTTGTCTTGTTTTTATACGAAGATATTTCCTTTTCTACCATTGGCATCGAAGCGCTTGAAATCTCCACTTGCAAATTCCACAAAAAGAGTGTTTCAAATCTGCTCTGTCTAAAGGAAGGTTGAACTCTGTGAGTTGCATACACACAACACAAAGAAGTTACTGAGAAATCTTCTGTCTAGCATAATATGAAGAAATCCCGTTTCCAACGAAGGCCTCAAAGAGGTCCGAATATCCACTGGCAGGCTTCACAAACAGAGTGTTTCCTAACTGCTCTGTGAAAAGAAAGGTTAAACTCTGTGAGTTGAACGCACACATCACAAAGGAGTTTCTGAGAATCATTCTGTCTAGTTTTTATACGAAGATATTTCTTTTTCTACCATTGACCTCAAAGCGGCTGAAATCTCCACTTGCAAATTCCAGAAAAACAGTGTTTCAAATCTGCTCTGTGTAAAGGATCGTTCAACTCTGTGAGTTGAATACACACAACACAAGGAAGTTACTGAGAATTCATCTGTCTAGCATAATATGAAGAAATCCCGTTTCCAACGAAGGCCTCAAAGAGGTCTGAATATCCACTTGCAGACTTTACAAACAGAGTGTTTCCTAACTGCTCTTTGAAAAGAAAGGTTAAACTCTGTGAGTTGTACGCACACATCACAAAAAAGTTTCTGAGAATCATTCTGTCTAGTTTTTATACGAAGATATTTCCTTTTCTACCGTTGACCTCAAATCGTCTGAATTCTCCACTTACAAATTCCACCAAAAGAGTGTCTCAAATCTGCTCTGTGTAAAGAATCATTCAACTCTGTGAGTTGAGTGCACACAACACAAGGAAGTTACTGGGAATTCCTCTGTCTAACCTTACATGAAAAAACCCGTTTCCAATGAAGGCCTCTAAGAGGCCAAGATATCCACTTGCAGACTTTACAAACAGAGTGTTTCCAAACTGCTGAATGAAAAGAAAAGTTAAACTCTGTGAGTTGAACGCACACATCACAGAGCAGTTTCTGAGAATGATTCTGTCGGGTTTTTATACGAAGATATTTCCTTTTCTGCCTTTGGCCTCAAAGCGCTTGAAGTCTCCACTTGCAAATTGCAGAAAAAGAGTGTTTCGAATCTGCTCTGTCTAAAGGAAGGTTCAACTCTGTCAGTTGAATACACACAACACAAGGAAGTTACTGAGATTTCTTCTGTCTAGCCTTACATGAAAAAAACCCGTTTCCAACGAAGGCCTCAAAGAGGTCAAAATATCCACGTGCAGACTTTCCAAACAGTGTTTCCAAACTGCTGAATGAAAAGAAAAGTTAAACTCTGTGAGTTGAACGCACACATCACAGAGCAGTTTCTGAGAATGATTCTGTCGAGTTTTTATAGGAAAATATTTCCTTTTCTGCTTTTGGCCTCAAAGCGCTTGAAATCTCCACTTGCAAATTCCACAAAAAGAGACTTTCAAATCTGCTCTGTCTAAAGGAAGGTTCAACTCTGTCAGTTGAATACACACAACACAAAGAAGTTACTAAGAATTCTTCCCTCTAGCATTATATGAAGAAATCCCGTTTCCAACGAAGGCATCTAAAAGGTCCAAATATCCACTTGCAGACTTTACAAACACAGGGTTTCCAGAATGCTGTATGAAAAGAAAGGTTAAACTCTGTGAGTTAAACACACACATCACTACGCAGTGTCTGGGAACGAGTTTGTCTTGTTTTTATACGAAGATATTTCCTTTTCTACCATTTGCATCGAAGCGCTTGAAATCTCCACTTGCAAATTCCACAAAAAGAGTGTTTCAAATATGCTCTCTCTAAAGGAAGGTTGAACTCTGTAAGTTGCATACACACAACACAAAGAAGTTACTGAGAAATCTTCTGTCTAGCATAATATGAAGAAATCCCGTTTCCAACGAAGGCCTCAAAGAGGTCCGATTATCCACTGGCAGGCTTCACAAACAGAGTGTTTCCTAACTGCTCTGTGAAAAGAAAAGTTAAACTCTGTGAGTTGAACGCACACATCACAAAGGAGTTTCTGAGAATCATTCTGTCTAGTTTTTATACGAAGATATTTCCTTTTCTACCATTGACCTCAAAGCGGCTGAAATCTCCACTTGCAAATTCCAGAAAAACAGTGTTTCAAATCTGCTCTGTGTAAAGGATCGTTCAACTCTGTGAGTTGAATACACACAACACAAGGAAGTTACTGAGAATTCATCTGTCTAGCATAATATGAAGAAATCCCGTTTCCAACGAAGGCCTCAAAGAGGTCTGAATATCCACTTGCAGACTTTACAAACAGAGTGTTTCCTAACTGCTCTTTGAAAAGAAAGGTTAAACTCTGTGAGTTGAAAGCACACATCACAAAACAGTTTCTGAGAATCATTCTGTCTAGTTTTTATACGAAGATATTTCCTTTTCTACCGTTGACCTCAAAGCAGCTGAATTCTCCACTTACAAATTCCACCAAAAGAGTGTCTCAAATCTGCTCTGTGTAAAGAATCATTCAACTCTGTGAGTTGAGTGCACACAACACAAGGAAGTTACTGGGAATTCCTCTGTCTAACCTTACATGAAAAAACCCGTTTCCAACGAAGGCCTCTAAGAGGCCAAGATATCCACTTGCAGACTTTACAAACAGAGTGTTTCCAAACTGCTGAATGAAAAGAAAAGTTAAACTCTGTGAGTTGAACGCACACATCACAGAGCAGTTTCTGAGAATGATTCTGTCGGGTTTTTATACGAAGATATTTCCTTTTCTGCCTTTGGCCTCAAAGCGCTTGAAGTCTCCACTTGCAAATTGCAGAAAAAGAGTGTTTCGAATCTGCTCTGTCTAAAGGAAGGTTCAACTCTGTCAGTTGAATACACACAACACAAGGAAGTTACTGAGATTTCTTCTGTCTAGCCTTACATGAAAAAAACCCGTTTCCAACGAAGGCCTCAAAGAGGTCAAAATATCCACGTGCAGACTTTCCAAACAGAGTGTTTCCAAACTGCTGAATGAAAAGAAAAGTTAAACTCTGTGAGTTGAACGCACACATCCCAGAGCAGTTTCTGAGAAAGATTCTGTCTAGTTTTTATAGGAAAATATTTCCTTTTCTGCTTTTGGCCTCAAAGCGCTTGAAATCTCCACTTGCAAATTCCACAAAAAGAGACTTTCAAATCTGCTCTGTCTAAAGGAAGGTTCAACTCTGTCAGTTGAATACACACAACACAAAGAAGTTACTAAGAATTCTTCCCTCTAGCATTATATGAAGAAATCCCGTTTCCAACGAAGGCATCTAAGAGGTCCAAATATCCACTTGCAGACTTTACAAACACAGGGTTTCCAGAATGCTGTATGAAAAGAAAGGTGAAACTCTGTGAGTTAAACACACACATCACTACGCAGTGTCTGGGAACGAGTTTGTCTTGTTTTTATACGAAGATATTTCCTTTTCTACCATTGGCATCGAAGCGCTTGAAATCTCCACTTGCAAATTCCACAAAAAGAGTGTTTCAAATCTGCTCTGTCTAAAGGAAGGTTGAACTCTGTGAGTTGCATACACACAACACAAAGAAGTTACTGAGAAATCTTCTGTCTAGCATAATATGAAGAAATCCCGTTTCCAACGAAGGCCTCAAAGAGGTCCGAATATCCACTGGCAGGCTTCACAAACAGAGTGTTTCCTAACTGCTCTGTGAAAAGAAAGGTT
The DNA here is from genome assembly GCF_000001405.40 of Homo sapiens. NCBI lineage: Eukaryota > Metazoa > Chordata > Mammalia > Primates > Hominidae > Homo > Homo sapiens. The sequence goes on along the minus strand of NC_000016.10, from coordinate 37,892,571 downwards.
AAACTCTGTGAGTTGAACGCACACATCACAAAGGAGTTTCTGAGAATCATTCTGTCTAGTTTTTATACGAAGATATTTCCTTTTCTACCATTGACCTCAAAGCGGCTGAAATCTCCACTTGCAAATTCCAGAAAAACAGTGTTTCAAATCTGCTCTGTGTAAAGGATCGTTCAACTCTGTGAGTTGAATACACACAACACAAGGGAAGTTACTGAGAATTCATCTGTCTAGCATAATATGAAGAAATCCCGTTTCCAACGAAGGCCTCAAAGAGGTCTGAATATCCACTTGCAGACTTTACAAACAGAGTGCTTCCTAACTGCTCTTTGAAAAGAAAGGTTAAACTCTGTGAGTTGAACGCACACATCACAAAACAGTTTCTGAGAATCATTCTGTCTAGATTTTATACGAAGATATTTCCTTTTCTACCGTTGACCTCAAAGCGGCTGAATTCTCCACTTACAAATTCCACCCAAAGAGTGTCTCAAATCTGCTCTGTGTAAAGAATCATTCAACTCTGTGAGTTGAATGCACACAACACAAGGAAGTTACTGGGAATTCCTCTGTCTATCCTTACATGAAAAAACCCGTTTCCAACGAAGGCCTCTAAGAGGCCAAGATATCCACTTGCAGACTTTACAAACAGAGTGTTTCCAAACTGCTGAATGAAAAGAAAAGTTAAACTCTGTGAGTTGAACGCACACATCACAGAGCAGTTTCTGAGAATGATTCTGTCGGGTTTTTATACGAAGATATTTCCTTTTCTGCCTTTGGCCTCAAAGCGCTTGAAGTCTCCACTTGCAAATTGCAGAAAAAGAGTGTTTCGAATCTGCTCTGTCTAAAGGAAGGTTCAACTCTGTCAGTTGAATACACACAACACAAGGAAGTTACTGAGATTTCTTCTGTCTAGCCTTACATGAAAAAAACCCGTTTCCAACGAAGGCCTCAAAGAGGTCAAAATATCCACGTGCAGACTTTCCAAACAGAGTGTTTCCAAACTGCTGAATGAAAAGAAAAGTTAAACTCTGTGAGTTGAACGCACACATCCCAGAGCAGTTTCTGAGAAAGATTCTGTCGAGTTTTTATAGGAAAATATTTCCTTTTCTGCTTTTGGCCTCAAAGCGCTTGAAATCTCCACTTGCAAATTCCACAAAAAGAGACTTTCAAATCTGCTCTGTCTAAAGGAAGGTTCAACTCTGTCAGTTGAATACACACAACACAAAGAAGTTACTAAGAATTCTTCCCTCTAGCATTATATGAAGAAATCCCGTTTCCAACGAAGGCATCTAAGAGGTCCAAATATCCACTTGCAGACTTTACAAACAGAGGGTTTCCAGAATGCTGTATGAAAAGAAAGGTTAAACTCTGTGAGTTAAACACACACATCACTACGCAGTGTTCTGGGAACGAGTTTGTCTTGTTTTTATACGAAGATATTTCCTTTTCTACCATTGGCATCGAAGCGCTTGAAATCTCCACTTGCAAATTCCACAAAAAGAGTGTTTCAAATCTGCTCTGTCTAAAGGAAGGTTGAACTCTGTGAGTTGCATACACACAACACAAAGAAGTTACTGAGAAATCTTCTGTCTAGCATAATATGAAGAAATCCCGTTTCCAACGAAGGCCTCAAAGAGGTCTGAATATCCACTGGCAGGCTTCACAAACAGAGTGTTTCCTAACTGCTCTGTGAAAAGAAAGGTTAAACTCTGTGAGTTGAACGCACACATCACAAAGGAGTTTCTGAGAATCATTCTCGTCTAGTTTTTATACGAAGATATTTCCTTTTCTACCATTGACCTCAAAGCGGCTGAAATCTCCACTTGCAAATTCCAGAAAAACAGTGTTTCAAATCTGCTCTGTGTAAAGGATCGTTCAACTCTGTGAGTTGAATACACACAACACAAGGAAGTTACTGAGAATTCATCTGTCTAGCATAATATGAAGAAATCCCGTTTCCAACGAAGGCCTCAAAGAGGTCTGAATATCCACTTGCAGACTTTACAAACAGAGTGTTTCCTAACTGCTCTTTGAAAAGAAAGGTTAAACTCTGTGAGTTGAACGCACACATCACAAAACAGTTTCTGAGAATCATTCTGTCTAGTTTTTATACGAAGATATTTCCTTTTCTACCGTTGACCTCAAAGCGGCTGAATTCTCCACTTACAAATTCCACCAAAAGAGTGTCTCAAAACTGCTCTGTGTAAAGAATCATTCAACTCTGTGAGTTGAATGCACACAACACAAGGAAGTTACTGGGAATTCCTCTGTCTAACCTTACATGAAAAAACCCGTTTCCAACGAAGGCCTCTAAGAGGCCAAGATATCCACTTGCAGACTTTACAAACAGAGTGTTTCCAAACTGCTGAATGAAAAGAAAAGTTAAACTCTGTGAGTTGAACGCACACATCACAGAGCAGTTTCTGAGAATGATTCTGTCGGGTTTTTATACGAAGATATTTCCTTTTCTGCCTTTGGCCTCAAAGCGCTTGAAGTCTCCACTTGCAAATTGCAGAAAAAGAGTGTTTCGAATCTGCTCTGTCTAAAGGAAGGTTCAACTCTGTCAGTTGAATACACACAACACAAGGAAGTTACTGAGATTTCTTCTGTCTAGCCTTACATGAAAAAAACCCGTTTCCAACGAAGGCCTCAAAGAGGTCAAAATATCCACGTGCAGACTTTCCAAACAGAGTGTTTCCAAACTGCTGAATGAAAAGAAAAGTTAAACTCTGTGAGTTGAACGCACACATCCCAGAGCAGTTTCTGAGAAAGATTCTGTCGAGTTTTTATAGGAAAATATTTCCTTTTCTGCTTTTGGCCTCAAAGCGCTTGAAATCTCCACTTGCAAATTCCACAAAAAGAGACTTTCAAATCTGCTCTGTCTAAAGGAAGGTTCAACTCTGTCAGTTGAATACACACAACACAAAGAAGTTACTAAGAATTCTTCCCTCTAGCATTATATGAAGAAATCCCGTTTCCAACGAAGGCATCTAAGAGGTCCAAATATCCACTTGCAGACTTTACAAACAGAGGGTTTCCAGAATGCTGTATGAAAAGAAAGGTTAAACTCTGTGAGTTAAACACACACATCACTACGCAGTGTCTGGGAACGAGTTTGTCTTGTTTTTATACGAAGATATTTCCTTTTCTACCATTGGCATCGAAGCGCTTGAAATCTCCACTTGCAAATTCCACAAAAAGAGTGTTTCAAATCTGCTCTGTCTAAAGGAAGGTTGAACTCTGTGAGTTGCATACACACAACACAAAGAAGTTACTGAGAAATCTTCTGTCTAGCATAATATGAAGAAATCCCGTTTCCAACGAAGGCCTCAAAGAGGTCCGAATATCCACTGGCAGGCTTCACAAACAGAGTGTTTCCTAACTGCTCTGTGAAAAGAAAGGTTAAACTCTGTGAGTTGAACGCACACATCACAAAGGAGTTTCTGAGAATCATTCTGTCTAGTTTTTATACGAAGATATTTCTTTTTCTACCATTGACCTCAAAGCGGCTGAAATCTCCACTTGCAAATTCCAGAAAAACAGTGTTTCAAATCTGCTCTGTGTAAAGGATCGTTCAACTCTGTGAGTTGAATACACACAACACAAGGAAGTTACTGAGAATTCATCTGTCTAGCATAATATGAAGAAATCCCGTTTCCAACGAAGGCTTCAAAGAGGTCTGAATATCCACTTGCAGACTTTACAAACAGAGTGTTTCCTAACTGCTCTTTGAAAAGAAAGGTTAAACTCTGTGAGTTGAACGCACACATCACAAAACAGTTTCTGAGAATCATTCTTTCTAGTTTTTATACGAAGATATTTCCTTTTCTACCGTTGACCTCAAAGCGGCTGAATTCTCCACTTACAAATTCCACCAAAAGAGTGTCTCAAATCTGCTCTGTGTAAAGAATCATTCAACTCTGTGAGTTGAATGCACACAACACAAGGAAGTTACTGGGAATTCCTCTGTCTAACCTTACATGAAAAAACGCGTTTCCAACGAAGGCCTCTAAGAGGCCAAGATATCCACTTGCAGACTTTACAAACAGAGTGTTTCCAAACTGCTGAATGAAAAGAAAAGTTAAACTCTGTGAGTTGAACGCACACATCACAGAGCAGTTTCTGAGAATGATTCTGTCGGGTTTTTATACGAAGATATTTCCTTTTCTGCCTTTGGCCTCAATGCGCTAGAAGTCTCCACTTGCAAATTGCAGAAAAAGAGTGTTTCGAATCTGCTCTGTCTAAAGGAAGGTTCAACCCTGTCAACTGAATACACACAACACAAGGAAGTTACTGAGATTTCTTCTGTCTAGCCTTACATGAAAAAAACCCGTTTCCAACGAAGGCCTCGAAGAGGTCAAAATATCCACGTGCAGACTTTCCAAACAGAGTGTTTCCAAACTGCTGAATGAAAAGAAAAGTTAAGCTCTGTGAGTTGAACGCACACATCACAGAGCAGTTTCTGAGAATGATTCTGTCGAGTTTTTATAGGAAAATATTTCCTTTTCTGCTTTTGGCCTCAAAGCGCTTGAAATCTCCACTTGCAAATTCCACAAAAAGAGACTTTCAAATCTGCTCTGTCTAAAGGAAGGTTCAACTCTGTCAGTTGAATACACACAACACAAAGAAGTTACTAAGAATTCTTCCCTCTAGCATTATATGAAGAAATCCCGTTTCCAACGAAGGCATCTAAGAGGTCCAAATATCCACTTGCAGACTTTACAAACAGAGGGTTTCCAGAATGCTGTATGAAAAGAAAGGTTAAACTCTGTGAGTTAAACACACACATCACTACGCAGTGTCTGGGAATGAGTTTGTCTTGTTTTTATACGAAGATATTTCCTTTTCTACCATTGGCATCGAAGCGTTTGAAATCTCCACTTGCAAATTCCACAAAAAGAGTGTTTCAAATCTGCTCTGTCTAAAGGAAGGTTGAACTCTGTGAGTTGCATACACACAACCCAAAGAAGTTACTGAGAAATCTTCTGTCTAGCATAATATGAAGAAATCCCGTTTCCAACGAAGGCCTCAAAGAGGTCCGAATATCCACTGGCAGGCTTCACAAACACAGTGTTTCCTAACTGCTCTGTGAAAAGAAAGGTTAAACTCTGTGAGTTGAACGCACACATCACAAAGGAGTTTCTGAGAATCATTCTGTCTAGTTTTTATACGAAGATATTTCCTTTTCTACCATTGACCTCAAAGCGGCTGAAATCTCCACTTGCAAATTCCAGAAAAACAGTGTTTCAAATCTGCTCTGTGTAAAGGATCGTTCAACTCTGTGAGTTGAATACACACAACACAAGGAAGTTACTGAGAATTCATCTGTCTAGCATAATATGAAGAAATCCCGTTTCCAACGAAGGCCTCAAAGAGGTCTGAATATCCACTTGCAGACTTTACAGAGTGTTTCCTAACTGCTCTTTGAAAAGAAAGGTTAAACTCTGTGAGTTGAACGCACACATCACAAAACAGTTTCTGAGAATCATTCTGTCTAGTTTTTATACGAAGATATTTCCTTTTCTACCGTTGACCTCAAAGCGGCTGAATTCTCCACTTACAAATTCCACCAAAAGAGTGTCTCAAATCTGCTCTGTGTAAAGAATCATTCAACTCTGTGAGTTGAATGCACACAACACAAGGAAGTTACTGGGAATTCCTCTGTCTATCCTTACATGAAAAAACCCGTTTCCAACGAAGGCCTCTAAGAGGCCAAGATATCCACTTGCAGACTTTACAAACAGAGTGTTTCCAAACTGCTGAATGAAAAGAAAAGTTAAACTCTGTGAGTTGAACGCACACATCACAGAGCAGTTTCTGAGAATGATTCTGTCGGGTTTTTATACGAAGATATTTCCTTTTCTGCCTTTGGCCTCAAAGCGCTTGAAGTCTCCACTTGCAAATTGCAGAAAAAGAGTGTTTCGAATCTGCTCTGTCTAAAGGAAGGTTCAACTCTGTCAGTTGAATACACACAACACAAGGAAGTTACTGAGATTTCTTCTGTCTAGCGTTACATGAAAAAAACCCGTTTCCAACGAAGGCCTCAAAGAGGTCAAAATATCCACGTGCAGACTTTCCAAACAGAGTGTTTCCAAACTGCTGAATGAAAAGAAAAGTTAAACTCTGTGAGTTGAACGCACACATCCCAGAGCAGTTTCTGAGAAAGATTCTGTCTAGTTTTTATAGGAAAATATTTCCTTTTCTGCTTTTGGCCTCAAAGCGCTTGAAATCTCCACTTGCAAATTCCACAAAAAGAGACTTTCAAATCTGCTCTGTCTAAAGGAAGGTTCAACTCTGTCAGTTGAATACACACAACACAAAGAAGTTACTAAGAATTCTTCCCTCTAGCATTATATGAAGAAATCCCGTTTGCAACGAAGGCATCTAAGAGGTCCAAATATCCACTTGCAGACTTTACAAACAGAGGGTTTCCAGAATGCTGTATGAAAAGAAAGGTGAAACTCTGTGAGTTAAACACACACATCACTACGCAGTGTCTGGGAACGAGTTTGTCTTGTTTTTATACGAAGATATTTCCTTTTCTACCATTGGCATCGAAGCGCTTGAAATCTCCACTTGCAAATTCCACAAAAAGAGTGTTTCAAATCTGCTCTGTCTAAAGGAAGGTTGAACTCTGTGAGTTGCATACACACAACACAAAGAAGTTACTGAGAAATCTTCTGTCTAGCATAATATGAAGAAATCCCGTTTCCAACGAAGGCCTCAAAGAGGTCCGAATATCCACTGGCAGGCTTCACAAACAGAGTGTTTCCTAACTGCTCTGTGAAAAGAAAGGTTAAACTACTGTGAGTTGAACGCACACATCACAAAGGAGTTTCTGAGAATCATTCTGTCTAGTTTTTATACGAAGATATTTCTTTTTCTACCATTGACCTCAAAGCGGCTGAAATCTCCACTTGCAAATTCCAGAAAAACAGTGTTTCAAATCTGCTCTGTGTAAAGGATCGTTCAACTCTGTGAGTTGAATACACACAACACAAGGAAGTTACTGAGAATTCATCTGTCTAGCATAATATGAAGAAATCCCGTTTCCAACGAAGGCCTCAAAGAGGTCTGAATATCCACTTGCAGACTTTACAAACAGAGTGTTTCCTAACTGCTCTTTGAAAAGAAAGGTTAAACTCTGTGAGTTGAAAGCACACATCACAAAACAGTTTCTGAGAATCATTCTGTCTAGTTTTTATACGAAGATATTTCCTTTTCTACCGTTGACATCAAAGCGGCTGAATTCTCCACTTACAAATTCCACCAAAAGAGTGTCTCAAATCTGCTCTGTGTAAAGAATCATTCAACTCTGTGAGTTGAATGCACACAACACAAGGAAGTTACTGGGAATTCCTCTGTCTAGCCTTACATGGAAAAAGCCCGTATCCAATGAAGGACTCAAAGAGGTCAATATATGCACTTGCAGACTTTACACACAGAGTGTTTACAAACTGCTGAATGAAAAGAAAAGTTAAACTCTGTGAGTTGAACGCACACATCACAGAGCAGTTTCTGAGAATGATTCTGTCGGGTTTTTATACGAAGAATATTTCCTTTTCTGCCTTTGGCCTCAAAGCGCTTGAAGTCTCCACTTGCAAATTGCAGAAAAAGAGTGTTTCGAATCTGCTCTGTCTAAAAGAAGGTTCAACTCTGTCAGTTGAATACACACAACACAAGGAAGTTACTGAGATTTCTTCTGTCTAGCCTTATATGAAAAAAACTCGTTTCCAACGAAGGCCTCAAAGAGGTCAAAATATCCACGTGCAGACTTTCCAAACAGAGTGTTTCCAAACTGCTGAATGAAAAGAAAAGTTAAACTCTGTGAGTTGAACACACACATCCCAGAGCAGTTTCTGAGAAAGATTCTGTCTAGTTTTTATAGGAAAATATTTCCTTTTCTGCTTTTGGCCTCAAAGCGCTTGAAATCTCCACTTGCAAATTCCAAAAAAAGAGACTTTCAAATCTGCTCTGTCTAAACGAAGGTTCAACTCTGTCAGTTGAATACACACAACACAAAGAAGTTACTAAGAATTCTTCCCTCTAGCATTATATGAAGAAATCCCGTTTCCAACGAAGGCATCTAAGAGGTCCAAATATCCACTTGCAGACTTTACAAACAGAGGGTTTCCAGAATGCTGTATGAAAAGAAAGGTGAAACTCTGTGAGTTAAACACACACATCACTACGCAGTGTCTGGGAACGAGTTTGTCTTGTTTTTATACGAAGATATTTCCTTTTCTACCATTGGCATCGAAGCGCTTGAAATCTCCACTTGCAAATTCCACAAAAAGAGTGTTTCAAATCTGCTCTGTCTAAAGGAAGGTTGAACTCTGTGAGTTGCATACACACAACCCAAAGAAGTTACTGAGAAATCTTCTGTCTAGCAAAATATGAAGAAATCCCGTTTCCAACGAAGGCCTCAAAGAGGTCCGAATATCCACTGGCAGGCTTCACAAACAGAGTGTTTCCTAACTGCTCTGTGAAAAGAAAGGTTAAACTCTGTGAGTTGAACGCACACATCACAAAGGAGTTTCTGAGAATCATTCTGTCCAGTTTTTATACGAAGATATTTCCTTTTCTACCATTGACCTCAAAGCGGGTGAAATCTCCACTTGCAAATTCCAGAAAAACAGTGTTTCAAATCTGCTCTGTGTAAAGGATCGTTCAACTCTGTGAGTTGAATACACACAACACAAGGAAGTTACTGAGAATTCATCTGTCTAGCATAATATGAAGAAATCCCGTTTCCAACGAAGGCCTCAAAGAGGTCTGAATATCCACTTGCAGACTTTACAAACAGAGTGTTTCCTAACTGCTCTTTGAAAAGAAAGGTTAAACTCTGTGAGTTGAAAGCACACATCACAAAACAGTTTCTGAGAATCATTCTTTCTAGTTTTTATACGAAGATATTTCCTTTTCTACCGTTGACCTCAAAGCGGCTGAATTCTCCACTTACAAATTCCACCAAAAGTGTGTCTCAAATCTGCTCTGTGTAAAGAATCATTCAACTCTGTGAGTTGAATGCACACAACACAAGGAAGTTACTGGGGAATTCCTCTGTCTAACCTTACATGAAAAAACGCGTTTCCAACGAAGGCCTCTAAGAGGCCAAGATATCCACTTGCAGACTTTACAAACAGAGTGTTTCCAAACTGCTGAATGAAAAGAAAAGTTAAACTCTGTGAGTTGAACGCACACATCACAGAGCAGTTTCTGAGAATGATTCTGTCGGGTTTTTATACGAAGATATTTCCTTTTCTGCCTTTGGCCTCAAAGCGCTTGAAGTCTCCACTTGCAAATTGCAGAAAAAGAGTGTTTCGAATCTGCTCTGTCTAAAGGAAGGTTCAACTCTGTCAGTTGAATACACACAACACAAGGAAGTTACTGAGATTTCTTCTGTCTAGCCTTACATGAAAAAAACCCGTTTCCAACGAAGGCCTCAAAGAGGTCAAAATATCCACGTGCAGACTTTCCAAACAGAGTGTTTCCAAACTGCTGAATGAAAAGAAAGTTAAACTCTGTGAGTTGAACACACACATCACAGAGCAGTTTCTGAGAATGATTCTGTCTAGTTTTTATAGGAAAATATTTCCTTTTCTGCTTTTGGCCTCAAAGCGCTTGAAATCTCCACTTGCAAATTCCACAAAAAGAGACTTTCAAATCTGCTCTGTCTAAAGGAAGGTTCAACTCTGTCAGTTGAATACACACAACACAAAGAAGTTACTAAGAATTCTTCCCTCTAGCATTATATGAAGAAATCCCGTTTCCAACGAAGGCATCTAAGAGGTCCAAATATCCACTTGCAGACTTTACAAACAGAGGGTTTCCAGAATGCTGTATGAAAAGAAAGGTGAAACTCTGTGAGTTAAACACACACATCACTACGCAGTGTCTGGGAACGAGTTTGTCTTGTTTTTATACGAAGATATTTCCTTTTCTACCATTGGCATCGAAGCGCTTGAAATCTCCACTTGCAAATTCCACAAAAAGAGTGTTTCAAATCTGCTCTGTCTAAAGGAAGGTTGAACTCTGTGAGTTGCATACACACAACACAAAGAAGTTACTGAGAAATCTTCTGTCTAGCATAATATGAAGAAATCCCGTTTCCAACGAAGGCCTCAAAGAGGTCCGAATATCCACTGGCAGGCTTCACAAACAGAGTGTTTCCTAACTGCTCTGTGAAAAGAAAGGTTAAACTCTGTGAGTTGAACGCACACATCACAAAGGAGTTTCTGAGAATCATTCTGTCTAGTTTTTATACGAAGATATTTCCTTTTCTACCATTGACCTCAAAGCGGCTGAAATCTCCACTTGCAAATTCCAGAAAAACAGTGTTTCAAATCTGCTCTGTGTAAAGGATCGTTCAACTCTGTGAGTTGAATACACACAACACAAGGGAAGTTACTGAGAATTCATCTGTCTAGCATAATATGAAGAAATCCCGTTTCCAACGAAGGCCTCAAAGAGGTCTGAATATCCACTTGCAGACTTTACAAACAGAGTGTTTCCTAACTGCTCTTTGAAAAGAAAGGTTAAACTCTGTGAGTTGAACGCACACATCACAAAACAGTTTCTGAGAATCATTCTGTCTAGTTTTTATACGAAGATATTTCCTTTTCTACCGTTGACCTCAAAGCGGCTGAATTCTCCACTTACAAATTCCACCAAAAGAGTGTCTCAAATCTGCTCTGTGTAAAGAATCATTCAACTCTGTGAGTTGAATGCACACAACACAAGGAAGTTACTGGGAATTCCTCTGTCTATCCTTACATGAAAAAACCCGCTTCCAACGAAGGCCTCTAAGAGGTCAAGATATCCACTTGCAGACTTTACAAACAGAGTGTTTCCAAACTGCTGAATGAAAAGAAAAGTTAAACTCTGTGAGTTGAACGCACACATCACAGAGCAGTTTCTGAGAATGATTCTGTCGGGTTTTTATACGAAGATATTTCCTTTTCTGCCTTTGGCCTCAAAGCGCTTGAAGTCTCCACTTGCAAATTGCAGAAAAAGAGTGTTTCGAATCTGCTCTGTCTAAAGGAAGGTTCAACTCTGTCAGTTGAATACACACAACACAAGGAAGTTACTGAGATTTCTTCTGTCTAGCCTTACATGAAAAAAACCCGTTTCCAACGAAGGCCTCAAAGATGTCAAAATATCCACGTGCAGACTTTCCAAACAGAGTGTTTCCAAACTGCTGAATGAAAAGAAAAGTTAAACTATGTGAGTTGAACGCACACATCCCAGAGCAGTTTCTGAGAAAGATTCTGTCTAGTTTTTATAGGAAAATATTTCCTTTTCTGCTTTTGGCCTCAAAGCGCTTGAAATCTCCACTTGCAAATTCCACAAAAAGAGACTTTCAAATCTGCTCTGTCTAAAGGAAGGTTCAACTCTGTCAGTTGAATACACACAACACAAAGAAGTTACTAAGAATTCTTCCCTCTAGCATTATATGAAGAAATCCCGTTCCCAACGAAGGCATCTAAGAGGTCCAAATATCCACTTGCAGACTTTACAAACAGGGGGTTTCCAGAATGCTGTATGAAAAGAAAGGTTAAACTCTGTGAGTTAAACACACATATCACTACGCAGTGTCTGGGAACGAGTTTGTCTTGTTTTTATACGAAGATATTTCCTTTTCTACCATTGGCATCGAAGCGCTTGAAATCTCCACTTGCAAATTCCACAAAAAGAGTGTTTCAAATCTGCTCTGTCTAAAGGAAGGTTGAACTCTGTGAGTTGCATACACACAACACAAAGAAGTTACTGAGAAATCTTCTGTCTAGCATAATATGAAGAAATCCCGTTTCCAACGAAGGCCTCAAAGAGGTCCGAATATCCACTGGCAGGCTTCACAAACAGAGTGTTTCCTAACTGCTCTGTGAAAAGAAAGGTTAAACTCTGTGAGTTGAACGCACACATCACAAAGGAGTTTCTGAGAATCATTCTGTCTAGTTTTTATACGAAGATATTTCCTTTTCTACCATTGACCTCAAAGCGGCTGAAATCTCCACTTGCAAATTCCAGAAAAACAGTGTTTCAAATCTGCTCTGTGTAAAGGATCGTTCAACTCTGTGAGTTGAATACACACAACACAAGGAAGTTACTGAGAATTCATCCCTCTAGCATTATATGAAGAAATCCCGTTTCCAACGAAGGCCTCAAAGAGGTCTGAATATCCACTTGCAGATTTTACAGAGTGTTTCCTAACTGCTCTTTGAAAAGAAAGGTTAAACTCTGTGAGTTGAACGCACACATCACAAAACAGTTTCTGAGAATCATTCTGTCTAGTTTTTATACGAAGATATTTCCTTTTCTACCGTTGACCTCAAAGCGGCTGAATTCTCCACTTACAAATTCCACCCAAAGAGTGTCTCAAATCTGCTCTGTGTAAAGAATCATTCAACTCTGTGAGTTGAATGCACACAACACAAGGAAGTTACTGGGAATTCCTCTGTCTAACCTTACATGAAAAAACCCGTTTCCAACGAAGGCCTCTAAGAGGCCAAGATATCCACTTGCAGACTTTACAAACAGAGTGTTTCCAAACTGCTGAATGAAAAGAAAAGTTAAACTCTGTGAGTTGAACGCACACATCCCAGAGCAGTTTCTGAGAATGATTCTGTCGGGTTTTTATACGAAGATATTTCCTTTTCTGCCTTTGGCCTCAAAGCGCTTGAAGTCTCCACTTGCAAATTGCAGAAAAAGAGTGTTTCGAATCTGCTCTGTCTAAAGGAAGGTTCAACTCTGTCAGTTGAATACACACAACACAAGGAAGTTACTGAGATTTCTTCTGTCTAGCCTTACAAGAAAAAAACCCGTTTCCAACGAAGGCCTCAAAGAGGTCAAAATATCCACGTGCAGACTTTCCAAACAGAGTGTTTCCAAACTGCTGAATGGAAAGAAAAGTTAAACTCTGTGAGTTGAACGCACACATCCCAGAGCAGTTTCTGAGAAAGATTCTGTCGAGTTTTTATAGGAAAATATTTCCTTTTCTGCTTTTGGCCTCAAAGTGCTTGAAATCTCCACTTGCAAATTCCACAAAAAGAGACTTTCAAATCTGCTCTGTCTAAAGGAAGGTTCAACTCTGTCAGCTGAATACACACAACACAAAGAAGTTACTAAGAATTCTTCCCTCTAGCATTATATGAAGAAATCCCGTTTCCAACGAAGGCATCTAAGAGGTCCAAATATCCACTTGCAGACTTTACAAACACAGGGTTTCCAGAATGCTGTATGAAAAGAAAGGTGAAACTCTGTGAGTTAAACACACACATCACTACGCAGTGTCTGGGAACGAGTTTGTCTTGTTTTTATACGAAGATATTTCCTTTTCGACCATTGGCGTCGAAGCGCTTGAAATCTCCACTTGCAAATTCCACAAAAAGAGTGTTTCAAATCTGCTCTGTCTAAAGGAAGGATGAACTCTGTGAGTTGCATACACATAACACAAAGTAGTTACTGAGAAATCTGTCTAGCATAATATGAAGAAATCCCGTTTCCAAGGAAGGCCTCAAAGAGGTCCGAATATCCACTGGCAGACTTCACAAACAGAGTGTTTCCTAACTGCTCTGTGAAAAGAAAGGTTAAACTCTGTGAGTTGAACGCACACATCACAAAGGAGTTTCTGAGAATCATTCTGTCTACTTTTTATACGAAGATATTTCCTTTTCTACCATTGACCTCAAAGCGGCTGAAATCTCCACTTGCAAATTCCAGAAAAAGAGTGTTTCAAATCTGCTCTGTGTAAAGGATCGTTCAACCCTGTGAGTTGAATACACACAACACAAGGAAGTTACTGAGAATTCATCTGTCTAGCATAATATGAAGAAATCCCGTTTCCAACGAAGGCCTCAAAGAGGTCTGAATATCCACTTGCAGACTTTACAAACAGAGTGTTTCCTAACTGCTCTTTGAAAAGAAAGGTTAAACTCTGTGAGTTGAACGCACACATCACAAAACAGTTTCTGAGAATCATTCTGCCTAGTTTTTATACGAAGATATTTCCTTTTCTACCGTTGACCTCAAAGCGGCTGAATTCTCCACTTACAAATTCCACCAAAAGAGTGTCTCAAATCTGCTCTGTGTAAAGAATCATTCAACTCTGTGAGTTGAATGCACACAACACAAGGAAGTTACTGGGAATTCCTCTGTCTATCCTTACATGAAAAAACCCGTTTCCAACGAAGGCCTCTAAGAGGCCAAGATATCCACTTGCAGACTTTACAAACAGAGTGTTTCCAAACTGCTGAATGAAAAGAAAAGTTAAACTCTGTGAGTTGAACGCACACATCACAGAGCAGTTTCTGAGAGTGATTCTGTCGGGTTTTTATACGAAGATATTTCCTTTTCTGCCTTTGGCCTCAAAGCGCTTGAAGTCTCCACTTGCAAATTGCAGAAAAAGAGTGTTTCGAATCTGCTCTGTCTAAAGGAAGGTTCAACTCTGTCAGTTGAATACACACAACACAAGGGAATTTACTGAGATTTCTTCTGTCTAGCCTTACATGAAAAAAACCCGTTTCCAACGAAGGCCTCAAAGAGGTCAAAATATCCACGTGCAGACTTTCCAAACAGAGTGTTTCCAAACTGCTGAATGAAAAGAAAAGTTAAACTCTGTGAGTTGAACGCACACATCACAGAGCAGTTTCTGAGAAAGATTCTGTCGAGTTTTTATAGGAAAATATTTCCTTTTCTGCTTTTGGCCTCAAAGCGCTTGAAATCTCCACTTGCAAATTCCACAAAAAGAGACTTTCAAATCTGCTCTGTCTAAAGGAAGGTTCAACTCTGTCAGTTGAATACACACAACACAAAGAAGTTACTAAGAATTCTTCCCTCTAGCATTATATGAAGAAAACCCGTTTCCAACGAAGGCATCTAAGAGGTCCAAATATCCACTTGCAGACTTTACAAACACAGGGTTTCCAGAATGCTGTATGAAAAGAAAGGTGAAACTCTGTGAGTTAAACACACACATCACTACGCAGTGTCTGGGAACGAGTTTGTCTTGTTTTTATACGAAGATATTTCCTTTTCTACCATTGGCATCGAAGCGCTTGAAATCTCCACTTGCAAATTCCACAAAAAGAGTGTTTCAAATCTGCTCTGTCTAAAGGAAGGTTGAACTCTGTGAGTTGCATACACACAACACAAAGAAGTTACTGAGAAATCTTCTGTCTAGCATAATATGAAGAAATCCCGTTTCCAACGAAGGCCTCAAAGAGGTCCGAATATCCACTGGCAGGCTTCACAAACAGAGTGTTTCCTAACTGCTCTGTGAAAAGAAAGGTTAAACCCTGTGAGTTGAACGCACACATCACAAAGGAGTTTCTGAGAATCATTCTGTCTAGTTTTTATACGAAGATATTTCTTTTTCTACCATTGACCTCAAAGCGGCTGAAATCTCCACTTGCAAATTCCAGAAAAACAGTGTTTCAAATCTGCTCTGTGTAAAGGATCGTTCAACTCTGTGAGTTGAATACACACAACACAAGGGAAGTTACTGAGAATTCATCTGTCTAGCATAATATGAAGAAATCCCGTTTCCAACGAAGGCCTCAAAGAGGTCTGAATATCCACTTGCAGACTTTACAAACAGAGTGTTTCCTAACTGCTCTTTGAAAAGAAAGGTTAAACTCTGTGAGTTGAACGCACACATCACAAAACAGTTTCTGAGAATCATTCTGTCTAGTTTTTATACGAAGATATTTCCTTTTCTACCGTTGACCTCAAAGCGGCTGAATTCTCCACTTACAAATTCCACCAAAAGAGTGTCTCAAAACTGCTCTGTGTAAAGAATCATTCAACTCTGTGAGTTGAATGCACACAACACAAGGAAGTTACTGGGAATTCCTCTGTCTAACCTTACATGAAAAAACCCGTTTCCAACGAAGGCCTCTAAGAGGCCAAGATATCCACTTGCAGACTTTACAAACAGAGTGTTTCCAAACTGCTGAATGAAAAGAAAAGTTAAACTCTGTGAGTTGAACGCACACATCACAGAGCAGTTTCTGAGAATGATTCTGTCGGGTTTTTATACGAAGATATTTCCTTTTCTGCCTTTGGCCTCAAAGCGCTTGAAGTCTCCACTTGCAAATTGCAGAAAAAGAGTGTTTCGAATCTGCTCTGTCTAAAGGAAGGTTCAACCCTGTCAGTTGAATACACACAACACAAGGAAGTTACGGAGATTTCCTCTGTCTAGCCTTACATGATAAAACCCGTTTCCAACGAAGGCCTCAAAGAGGTCAAAATATCCACGTGCAGACTTTCCAAACAGAGTGTTTCCAAACTGCTGAATGAAAAGAAAAGTTAAACTGTGTGAGTTGAACGCACACATCACAGAGCAGTTTCTGAGAATGATTCTGTCTAGTTTTTATAGGAAAATATTTCCTTTTCTGCTTTTGGCCTCAAAGCGCTTGAAATCTCCACTTGCAAATTCCACAAAAAGAGACTTTCAAATCTGCTCTGTCTAAAGGAAGGTTCAACTCTGTCAGTTGAATACAGACAACACAAAGAAGTTACTGAGAATTCTTCCCTCTACCATTATATGACGAAATCCCTTTTCCAACGAAGGCATCTAAGAGGTCCAAATATCCACTTGCAGACTTTACAAACAGAGGGTTTCCAGAATTCTGTATGAAAAGAAAGGTGAAACTCTGTGAGTTAAACACACACATCACTACGCAGTTTCTGGGAATGATTTTGTCTTGTTTTTATACGAAGATATTTCCTTTTCGACCATTGGCGTCGAAGCGCTTGAAATCTCCACTTGCAAATTCCACAAAAAGAGTGTTTCAAATCTGCTCTGTCTAAAGGAAGGATGAACTCTGTGAGTTGCATACACATAACACAAAGTAGTTACTGAGAAATCTGTCTAGCATAATATGAAGAAATCCCGTTTCCAAGGAAGGCCTCAAAGAGGTCCGTATATCCACTGGCAGACTTCACAAACAGAGTGTTTCCTAACTGCTCTTTGAAAAGAAAGGTTAAACTCTGTGAGTTGAACGCACACATCACAAAACAGTTTCTGAGAATCATTCTTTCTAGTTTTTATACGAAGATATTTCCTTTTCTACCGTTGACCTCAAAGCGGCTGAATTCTCCACTTACAAATTCCACCAAAAGAGTGTCTCAAATCTGCTCTGTGTAAAGAATCATTCAACTCTGTGAGTTGAATGCACACAACACAAGGGAAGTTACTGGGAATTCCTCTGTCTAACCTTACATGAAAAAACGCGTTTCCAACGAAGGCCTCTAAGAGGCCAAGATATCCACTTGCAGACTTTACAAACAGAGTGTTTCCAAACTGCTGAATGAAAAGAAAAGTTAAACTCTGTGAGTTGAACGCACACATCACAGAGCAGTTTCTGAGAATGATTCTGTCGGGTTTTTATACGAAGATATTTCCTTTTCTGCCTTTGGCCTCAAAGCGCTTGAAGTCTCCACTTGCAAATTGCAGAAAAAGAGTGTTTCGAATCTGCTCTGTCTAAAGGAAGGTTCAACTCTGTCAGTTGAATACACACAACACAAGGAAGTTACTGAGATTTCTTCTGTCTAGCCTTACATGAAAAAAACCCGTTTCCAACGAAGGCCTCTAAGAGGCCAATATATCCACTTGCAGACTTTACAAACAGAGTGTTTCCAAACTGCTGAATGAAAAGAAAAGTTAAACTCTGTGAGTTGAACGCACACATCACAGAGCAGTTTCTGAGAATGATTCTGTCGAGTTTTTATAGGAAAATATTTCCTTTTCTGCTTTTGGCCTCAAAGCGCTTGAAATCTCCACTTGCAAATTCCACAAAAAGAGACTTTCAAATCTGCTCTGTCTAAAGGAAGGTTCAACTCTGTCAGTTGAATACACACAACACAAAGAAGTTACTAAGAATTCTTCCCTCTAGCATTATATGAAGAAATCCCGTTTCCAACGAAGGCATCTAAGAGGTCCAAATATCCACTTGCAGACTTTACAAACAGAGGGTTTCCAGAATGCTGTATGAAAAGAAAGGTGAAACTCAGTGAGTTAAACACACACATCACTACGCAGTGTCTGGGAACGAGTTTGTCTTGTTTTTATACGAAGATATTTCCTTTTCTACCATTGGCATCGAAGCGCTTGAAATCTCCACTTGCAAATTCCACAAAAAGAGTGTTTCAAATCTGCTCTGTCTAAAGGAAGGTTGAACTCTGTGAGTTGCATACACACAACACAAAGAAGTTACTGAGAAATCTTCTGTCTAGTATAATATGAAGAAATCCCGTTTCCAACGAAGGCCTCAAAGAGGTCCGAATATCCACTGGCAGGCTTCACAAACAGAGTGTTTCCTAACTGCTCTGTGAAAAGAAAGGTTAAACTCTGTGAGTTGAACGCACACATCACAAAGGAGTTTCTGAGAATCATTCTGTCTAGTTTTTATACAGAAGATATTTCCTTTTCTACCATTGACCTCAAAGCGGCTGAAATCTCCACTTGCAAATTCCAGAAAAACAGTGTTTCAAATCTGCTCTGTGTAAAGGATCGTTCAACTCTGTGAGTTGAATACACACAACACAAGGAAGTTACTGAGAATTCATCTGTCTAGCATAATATGAAGAAATCCCGTTTCCAACGAAGGCCTCAAAGAGGTCTGAATATCCACTTGCAGACTTTACAAACAGAGTGTTTCCTAACTGCTCTTTGAAAAGAAAGGTTAAACTCTGTGAGTTGAACGCACACATCACAAAACAGTTTCTGAGAATCATTCTGTCTAGTTTTTATACGAAGATATTTCCTTTTCTACCGTTGACCTCAAAGCAGCTGAATTCTCCACTTACAAATTCCACCAAAAGAGTGTCTCAAATCTGCTCTGTGTAAAGAATCATTCAACTCTGTGAGTTGAATGCAC
This sequence comes from Homo sapiens, assembly GCF_000001405.40. Classification (NCBI taxonomy): domain Eukaryota; kingdom Metazoa; phylum Chordata; class Mammalia; order Primates; family Hominidae; genus Homo; species Homo sapiens. The sequence continues at coordinate 37,873,693 of NC_000016.10, read as the reverse complement.
ACAACACAAGGAAGTTACTGGGAATTCCTCTGTCTAACCTTACATGAAAAAACCCGTTTCCAACGAAGGCCTCTAAGAGGCCAAGATATCCACTTGCAGACTTTACAAACAGAGTGTTTCCAAACTGCTGAATGAAAAGAAAAGTTAAACTCTGTGAGTTGAACGCACACATCACAGAGCAGTTTCTGAGAATGATTCTGTCGGGTTTTTATACGAAGATATTTCCTTTTCTGCCTTTGGCCTCAAAGCGCTTGAAGTCTCCACTTGCAAATTGCAGAAAAAGAGTGTTTCGAATCTGCTCTGTCTAAAGGAAGGTTCAACTCTGTCAGTTGAATACACACAACACAAGGAAGTTACTGAGATTTCTTCTGTCTAGCGTTACATGAAAAAAACCCGTTTCCAACGAAGGCCTCAAAGAGGTCAAAATATCCACGTGCAGACTTTCCAAACAGAGTGTTTCCAAACTGCTGAATGAAAAGAAAAGTTAAACTCTGTGAGTTGAACGCACACATCCCAGAGCAGTTTCTGAGAAAGATTCTGTCTAGTTTTTATAGGAAAATATTTCCTTTTCTGCTTTTGGCCTCAAAGCGCTTGAAATCTCCACTTGCAAATTCCACAAAAAGAGACTTTCAAATCTGCTCTGTCTAAAGGAAGCTTCAACTCTGTCAGTTGAATACACACAACACAAAGAAGTTACTAAGAATTCTTCCCTCTAGCATTATATGAAGAAATCCCGTTTCCAACGAAGGCATCTAAGAGGTCCAAATATCCACTTGCAGACTTTACAAACAGAGGGTTTCCAGAATGCTGTATGAAAAGAAAGGTGAAACTGCTGTGAGTTAAACACACACATCACTACGCAGTGTCTGGGAACGAGTTTGTCTTGTTTTTATACGAAGATATTTCCTTTTCTACCATTGGCATCGAAGCGCTTGAAATCTCCACTTGCAAATTCCACAAAAAGAGTGTTTCAAATCTGCTCTGTCTAAAGGAAGGTTGAACTCTGTGAGTTGCATACACACAACACAAAGAAGTTACTGAGAAATCTTCTGTCTAGCATAATATGAAGAAATCCCGTTTCCAACGAAGGCCTGAAAGAGGTCTGAATATCCACTGGCAGGCTTCACAAACAGAGTGTTTCCTAACTGCTCTGTGAAAAGAAAGGTTAAACTCTGTGAGTTGAACGCACACATCACAAAGGAGTTTCTGAGAATCATTTCTGTCTAGTTTTTATACGAAGATATTTCCTTTTCTACCATTGACCTCAAAGCGGCTGAAATCTCCACTTGCAAATTCCAGAAAAACAGTGTTTCAAATCTGCTCTGTGTAAAGGATCGTTCAACTCTGTGAGTTGAATACACACAACACAAGGAAGTTACTGAGAATTCATCTGTCTAGCATAATATGAAGAAATCCCGTTTCCAACGAAGGCCTCAAAGAGGTCTGAATATCCACTTGCAGACTTTACAAACAGAGTGTTTCCTAACTGCTCTTTGAAAAGAAAGGTTAAACTCTGTGAGTTGAACGCACACATCACAAAACAGTTTCTGAGAATCATTCTGTCTAGTTTTTATACGAAGATATTTCCTTTTCTACCGTTGACCTCAAAGCGGCTGAATTCTCCACTTACAAATTCCACCAAAAGAGTGTCTCAAATCTGCTCTGTGTAAAGAATCATTCAACTCTGTGAGTTGAATGCACACAACACAAGGAAGTTACTGGGAATTCCTCTGTCTATCCTTACATGAAAAAACCCGTTTCCAACGAAGGCCTCTAAGAGGCCAAGATATCCACCTGCAGACTTTACAAACAGAGTGTTTCCAAACTGCTGAATGAAAAGAAAAGTTAAACTCTGTGAGTTGAACGCACACATCACAGAGCAGTTTCTGAGAATGATTCTGTCGGGTTTTTATACGAAGATATTTCCTTTTCTGCCTTTGGCCTCAAAGCGCTTGAAGTCTCCACTTGCAAATTGCAGAAAAAGAGTGTTTCGAATCTGCTCTGTCTAAAGGAAGGTTCAACTCTGTCAGTTGAATACACACAACACAAGGGAATTTACTGAGATTTCTTCTGTCTAGCCTTACATGAAAAAAACCCGTTTCCAACGAAGGCCTCAAAGAGGTCAAAATATCCACGTGCAGACTTTCCAAACAGAGTGTTTCCAAACTGCTGAATGAAAAGAAAAGTTAAACTCTGTGAGTTGAACGCACACATCCCAGAGCAGTTTCTGAGAAAGATTCTGTCGAGTTTTTATAGGAAAATATTTCCTTTTCTGCTTTTGGCCTCAAAGCGCTTGAAATCTCCACTTGCAAATTCCACAAAAAGAGACTTTCAAATCTGCTCTGTCTAAAGGAAGGTTCAACTCTGTCAGTTGAATACACACAACACAAAGAAGTTACTAAGAATTCTTCCCTCTAGCATTATATGAAGAAATCCCGTTTCCAACGAAGGCATCTAAGAGGTCCAAATATCCACTTGCAGACTTTACAAACACAGGGTTTCCAGAATGCTGTATGAAAAGAAAGGTTAAACTCTGTGAGTTAAACACACATATCACTACGCAGTGTCTGGGAACGAGTTTGTCTTGTTTTTATACGAAGATATTTCCTTTTCTACCATTGGCATCGAAGCGCTTGAAATCTCCACTTGCAAATTCCACAAAAAGAGTGTTTCAAATCTGCTCTGTCTAAAGGAAGGTTGAACTCTGTGAGTTGCATACACACAACACAAAGAAGTTACTGAGAAATCTTCTGAATAGCATAATATGAAGAAATCCCGTTTCCAACGAAGGCCTCAAAGAGGTCCGAATATCCACTGGCAGGCTTCACAAACAGAGTGTTTCCTAACTGCTCTGTGAAAAGAAAGGTTAAACTCTGTGAGTTGAACGCACACATCACAAAGGAGTTTCTGAGAATCATTCTGTCTAGTTTTTATACGAAGATATTTCCTTTTCTACCATTGACCTCAAAGCGGCTGAAATCTCCACTTGCAAATTCCAGAAAAACAGTGTTTCAAATCTGCTCTGTGTAAAGGATCGTTCAACTCTGTGAGTTGAATACACACAACACAAGGAAGTTACTGAGAATTCATCTGTCTAGCATAATATGAAGAAATCCCGTTTCCAACGAAGGCCTCAAAGAGGTCTGAATATCCTCTTGCAGACTTTACAAACAGAGTGTTTCCTAACTGCTCTTTGAAAAGAAAGGTTAAACTCTGTGAGTTGAACGCACACATCACAAAACAGTTTCTGAGAATCATTCTGTCTAGTTTTTATACGAAGATATTTCCTTTTCTACCGTTGACCTCAAAGCGGCTGAATTCTCCACTTACAAATTCCACCAAAAGAGTGTCTCAAATCTGCTCTGTGTAAAGAATCATTCAACTCTGTGAGTTGAATGCACACAACACAAGGAAGTTACTGGGAATTCCTCTGTCTAACCTTACATGAAAAAACCCGTTTCCAACGAAGGCCTCTAAGAGGCCAAGATATCCACTTGCAGACTTTACAAACAGAGTGTTTCCAAACTGCTGAATGAAAAGAAAAGTTAAACTCTGTGAGTTGAACGCACACATCACCGAGCAGTTTCTGAGAATGATTCTGTCGGGTTTTTATACGAAGATATTTCCTTTTCTGCCTTTGGCCTCAAAGCGCTTGAAGTCTCCACTTGCAAATTGCAGAAAAAGAGTGTTTCGAATCTGCTCTGTCTAAAGGAAGGTTCAACTCTGTCAGTTGAATACACACAACACAAGGAAGTTACTGAGATTTCTTCTGTCTAGCCTTACATGAAAAAAACCCGTTTCCAACGAAGGCCTCAAAGAGGTCAAAATATCCACGTGCAGACTTTCCAAACAGAGTGTTTCCAAACTGCTGAATGAAAAGAAAGTTAAACTCTGTGAGTTGAACACACACATCACAGAGCAGTTTCTGAGAATGATTCTCTCTAGTTTTTATAGGAAAATATTTCCTTTTCTGCTTTTGGCCTCAAAGCGCTTGAAATCTCCACTTGCAAATTCCACAAAAAGAGACTTTCAAATCTGCTCTGTCTAAAGGAAGGTTCAACTCTGTCAGTTGAATACACACAACACAAAGAAGTTACTAAGAATTCTTCCCTCTAGCATTATATGAAGAAATCCCGTTTCCAACGAAGGCATCTAAGAGGTCCAAATATCCACTTGCAGACTTTACAAACACAGGGTTTCCAGAATGCTGTATGAAAAGAAAGGTTAAACTCTGTGAGTTAAACACACACATCACTACGCAGTGTCTGGGAACGAGTTTGTCTTGTTTTTATACGAAGATATTTCCTTTTCTACCATTGGCATCGAAGCGCTTGAAATCTCCACTTGCAAATTCCACAAAAAGAGTGTTTCAAATCTGCTCTTTCTAAAGGAAGGTTGAACTCTGTGAGTTGCATACACACAACACAAAGAAGTTACTGAGAAATCTTCTGTCTAGCATAATATGAAGAAATCCCGTTTCCAACGAAGGCCTGAAAGAGGTCCGAATATCCACTGGCAGGCTTCACAAACAGAGTGTTTCCTAACTGCTCTGTGAAAAGAAAGGTTAAACTCTGTGAGTTGAACGCACACATCACAAAGGAGTTTCTGAGAATCATTCTGTCTAGTTTTTATACGAAGATATTTCCTTTTCTACCATTGACCTCAAAGCGGCTGACATCTCCACTTGCAAATTCCAGAAAAACAGTGTTTCAAATCTGCTCTGTGTAAAGGATCGTTCAACTCTGTGAGTTGAATACACACAACACAAGGAAGTTACTGAGAATTCATCTGTCTAGCATAATATGAAGAAATCCCGTTTCCAACGAAGGCCTCAAAGAGGTCTGAATATCCACATGCAGACTTTACAAACAGAGTGTTTCCTAACTGCTCTCTGAAAAGAAAGGTTAAACTCTGTGAGTTGAACGCACACATCACAAAACAGTTTCTGAGAATCATTCTGTCTAGTTTTTATACGAAGATATTTCCTTTTCTACCGTTGACCTCAAAGCGGCTGAATTCTCCACTTACAAATTCCACCAAAAGAGTGTCTCAAATCTGCTCTGTGTAAAGAATCATTCAACTCTGTGAGTTGAATGCACACAACACAAGGAAGTTACTGGGAATTCCTCTGTCTATCCTTACATGAAAAAACCCGTTTCCAACGAAGGCCTCTAAGAGGCCAAGATATCCACTTGCAGACTTTACAAACAGAGTGTTTCCAAACTGCTGAATGAAAAGAAAAGTTAAACTCTGTGAGTTGAACGCACACATCACAGAGCAGTTTCTGAGAAAGATTCTGTCTAGTTTTTATAGGAAAATATTTCCTTTTCTGCTTTTGGCCTCAAAGCGCTTGAAATCTCCACTTGCAAATTCCACAAAAAGAGTGTTTCAAATCTGCTCTGTCTAAAGGAAGGTTGAACTCTGTGAGTTGCATACACACAACACAAAGAGGTTACTGAGAAATCTTCTGTCTAGCATAATATGAAGAAATCCCGTTTCCAACGAAGGCCTCAAAGAGGTCCGAATATCCACTGGCAGGCTTCACAAACAGAGTGTTTCCTAACTGCTCTGTGAAAAGAAAGGTTAAACTCTGTGAGTTGAACGCACACATCACAAAGGAGTTTCTGAGAATCATTCTGTCTAGTTTTTATACGAAGATATTTCCTTTTCTACCATTGACCTCAAAGCGGCTGAAATCTCCACTTGCAAATTCCAGAAAAACAGTGTTTCAAATCTGCTCTGTGTAAAGGATCGTTCAACTCTGTGAGTTGAATACACACAACACAAGGAAGTTACTGAGAATTCATCTGTCTAGCATAATATGAAGAAATCCCGTTTCCAACGAAGGCCTCAAAGAGGTCTGAATATCCACTTGCAGACTTTACAAACAGAGTGTTTCCTAACTGCTCTTTGAAAAGAAAGGTTAAACTCTGTGAGTTGAACGCACACATCACAAAACAGTTTCTGAGAATCATTCTGTCTAGTTTTTATACGAAGATATTTCCTTTTCTACCGTTGACCTCAAAGCGGCTGAATTCTCCACTTACAAATTCCACCAAAAGAGTGTCTCAAATCTGCTCTGTGTAAAGAATCATTCAACTCTGTGAGTTGAATGCACACAACACAAGGAAGTTACTGGGAATTCCTCTGTCTAACCTTACATGAAAAAACCCGTTTCCAACGAAGGCCTCTAAGAGGCCAAGATATCCACTTGCAGACTTTACAAACAGAGTGTTTCCAAACTGCTGAATGAAAAGAAAAGTTAAACTCTGTGAGTTGAACGCACACATCACAGAGCAGTTTCTGAGAATGATTCTGTCGGGTTTTTATACGAAGATATTTCCTTTTCTGCCTTTGGCCTCAAAGCGCTTGAAGTCTCCACTTGCAAATTGCAGAAAAAGAGTGTTTCGAATCTGCTCTGTCTAAAGGAAGGTTCAACTCTGTCAGTTGAATACACACAACACAAGGAAGTTACTGAGATTTCTTCTGTCTAGCCTTACATGAAAAAAACCCGTTTCCAACGAAGGCCTCAAAGAGGTCAAAATATCCACGTGCAGACTTTCCAAACAGAGTGTTTCCAAACTGCTGAATGAAAAGAAAAGTTAAACTCTGTGAGTTGAACGCACACATCCCAGAGCAGTTTCTGAGAAAGATTCTGTCGAGTTTTTATAGGAAAATATTTCCTTTTCTGCTTTTGGCCTCAAAGCGCTTGAAATCTCCACTTGCAAATTCCACAAAAAGAGACTTTCAAATCTGCTCTGTCTAAAGGAAGGTTCAACTCTGTCAGTTGAATACACACAACACAAAGAAGTTACTAAGAATTCTTCCCTCTAGCATTATATGAAGAAATCCCGTTTGCAACGAAGGCATCTAAGAGGTCCAAATATCCACTTGCAGACTTTACAAACAGAGGGTTTCCAGAATGCTGTATGAAAAGAAAGGTGAAACTCTGTGAGTTAAACACACACATCACTACGCAGTGTCTGGGAACGAGTTTGTCTTGTTTTTATACGAAGATATTTCCTTTTCTACCATTGGCATCGAAGCGCTTGAAATCTCCACTTGCAAATTCCACAAAAAGAGTGTTTCAAATCTGCTCTGTCTAAAGGAAGGTTGAACTCTGTGAGTTGCATACACACAACACAAAGAAGTTACTGAGAAATCTTCTGTCTAGCATAATATGAAGAAATCCCGTTTCCAACGAAGGCCTCAAAGAGGTCCGAATATCCACTGGCAGGCTTCACAAACAGAGTGTTTCCTAACTGCTCTGTGAAAAGAAAGGTTAAACTCTGTGAGTTGAACGCACACATCACAAAGGAGTTTCTGAGAATCATTCTGTCTAGTTTTTATACGAAGATATTTCTTTTTCTACCATTGACCTCAAAGCGGCTGAAATCTCCACTTGCAAATTCCAGAAAAACAGTGTTTCAAATCTGCTCTGTGTAAAGGATCGTTCAACTCTGTGAGTTGAATACACACAACACAAGGAAGTTACTGAGAATTCATCTGTCTAGCATAATATGAAGAAATCCCGTTTCCAACGAAGGCCTCAAAGAGGTCTGAATATCCACTTGCAGACTTTACAAACAGAGTGTTTCCTAACTGCTCTTTGAAAAGAAAGGTTAAACTCTGTGAGTTGAACGCACACATCACAAAACAGTTTCTGAGAATCATTCTGTCTAGTTTTTATACGAAGATATTTCCTTTTCTACCGTTGACCTCAAAGCGGCTGAATTCTCCACTTACAAATTCCACCAAAAGAGTGTCTCAAATCTGCTCTGTGAAAAGAATCATTCAACTCTGTGAGTTGAATGCACACAACACAAGGAAGTTACTGGGAATTCCTCTGTCTATCCTTACATGAAAAAACCCGTTTCCAACGAAGGCCTCTAAGAGGCCAAGATATCCACTTGCAGACTTTACAAACAGAGTGTTTCCAAACTGCTGAATGAAAAGAAAAGTTAAACTCTGTGAGTTGAACGCACACATCACAGAGCAGTTTCTGAGAAAGATTCTGTCTAGTTTTTATAGGAAAATATTTCCTTTTCTGCTTTTGGCCTCAAAGCGCTTGAAATCTCCACTTGCAAATTCCACAAAAAGAGTGTTTCAAATCTGCTCTGTCTAAAGGAAGGTTGAACTCTGTGAGTTGCATACACACAACACAAAGAAGTTACTGAGAAATCTTCCCTCTAGCATTATATGAAGAAATCCCGTTTCCAACGAAGGCATCTAAGAGGTCCAAATATCCACTTGCAGACTTTACAAACAGAGGGTTTCCAGAATGCTGTATGAAAAGAAAGGTTAAACTCTGTGAGTTAAACACACACATCACTACGCAGTGTCTGGGAACGAGTTTGTCTTGTTTTTATACGAAGATATTTCCTTTTCTACCATTGGCATCGAAGCGCTTGAAATCTCCACTTGCAAATTCCACAAAAAGAGTGTTTCAAATATGCTCTCTCTAAAGGAAGGTTGAACTCTGTGAGTTGCATACACACAACCCAAAGAAGTTACTGAGAAATCTTCTGTCTAGCATAATATGAAGAAATCCCGTTTCCAACGAAGGCCTCAAAGGAGGTCCGAATATCCACTGGCAGGCTTCACAAACAGAGTGTTTCCTAACTGCTCTGTGAAAAGAAAGGTTAAACTCTGTGAGTTGAACGCACACATCACAAAGGAGTTTCTGAGAATCATTCTGTCTAGTTTTTATACGAAGATATTTCCTTTTCTACCATTGACCTCAAAGCGGCTGAAATCTCCACTTGCAAATTCCAGAAAAACAGTGTTTCAAATCTGCTCTGTGTAAAGGATCGTTTAACTCGGTGAGTTGAATACACACAACACAAGGAAGTTACTGAGAATTCATCTGTCTAGCATAATATGAAGAAATCCCGTTTCCAACGAAGGCCTCAAAGAGGTCTGAATATCCACTTGCAGACTTTACAAACAGAGTGTTTCCTAACTGCTCTTTGAAAAGAAAGGTTAAACTCTGTGAGTTGAACGCACACATCACAAAACAGTTTCTGAGAATCATTCTGTCTAGTTTTTATACGAAGATATTTCCTCTTCTACCGTTGACCTCAAAGCGGCTGAATTCTCCACTTACAAATTCCACCAAAAGAGTGTCTCAAATCTGCTCTGTGTAAAGAATCATTCAACTCTGTGAGTTGAATGCACACAACACAAGGAAGTTACTGGGAATTCCTCTGTCTAACCTTACATGAAAAAACCCGTTTCCAACGAAGGCCTCTAAGAGGCCAAGATATCCACTTGCAGACTTTACAAACAGAGTGTTTCCAAACTGCTGAATGAAAAGAAAAGTTAAACTCTGTGAGTTGAACGCACACATCACAGAGCAGTTTCTGAGAATGATTCTGTCGGGTTTTTATACGAAGATATTTCCTTTTCTGCCTTTGGCCTCAAAGCGCTTGAAGTCTCCACTTGCAAATTGCAGAAAAAGAGTGTTTCGAATCTGCTCTGTCTAAAGGAAGGTTCAACTCTGTCAGTTGAATACACACAACACAAGGAAGTTACTGAGATTTCTTCTGTCTAGCCTTACATGAAAAAAACCCGTTTCCAACGAAGGCCTCAAAGAGGTCAAAATATCCACGTGCAGACTTTCCAAACAGAGTGTTTCCAAACTGCTGAATGAAAAGAAAAGTTAAACTCTGTGAGTTGAACGCACACATCCCAGAGCAGTTTCTGAGAAAGATTCTGTCGAGTTTTTATAGGAAAATATTTCCTTTTCTGCTTTTGGCCTCAAAGCGCTTGAAATCTCCACTTGCAAATTCCACAAAAAGAGACTTTCAAATCTGCTCTGTCTAAAGGAAGGTTCAACTCTGTCAGTTGAATACACACAACACAAAGAAGTTACTAAGAATTCTTCCCTCTAGCATTATATGAAGAAATCCCGTTTCCAACCGAAGGCATCTAAGAGGTCCAAATATCCACTTGCAGACTTTACAAACACAGGGTTTCCAGAATGCTGTATGAAAAGAAAGGTTAAACTCTGTGAGTTAAACACACACATCACTACGCAGTGTCTGGGAACGAGTTTGTCTTGTTTTTATACGAAGATATTTCCTTTTCTACCATTGGCATCGAAGCGCTTGAAATCTCCACTTGCAAATTCCACAAAAAGAGTGTTTCAAATCTGCTCTGTCTAAAGGAAGGTTGAACTCTGTGAGTTGCATACACACAACACAAAGAAGTTACTGAGAAATCTTCTGTCTTGCAAAATATGAAGAAATCCCGTTTCCAACGAAGGCCTCAAAGAGGTCCGAATATCCACTGGCAGGCTTCACAAACAGAGTGTTTCCTAACTGCTCTGTGAAAAGAAAGGTTAAACTCTGTGAGTTGAACGCACACATCACAAAGGAGTTTCTGAGAATCATTCTGTCTAGTTTTTATACGAAGATATTTCCTTTTCTACCATTGACCTCAAAGCGGCTGAAATCTCCACTTGCAAATTCCAGAAAAACAGTGTTTCAAATCTGCTCTGTGTAAAGGATCGTTCAACTCTGTGAGTTGAATACACACAACACAAGGAAGTTACTGAGAATTCATCTGTCTAGCATGATATGAAGAAATCCCGTTTCCAACGAAGGCCTCAAAGAGGTCTGAATATCCACTTGCAGACTTTACAGAGTGTTTCCTAACTGCTCTTTGAAAAGAAAGGTTAAACTCTGTGAGTTGAACGCACACATCACAAAACAGTTTCTGAGAATCATTCTGTCTAGTTTTTATACGAAGATATTTCCTTTTCTACCGTTGACCTCAAAGCGGCTGAATTCTCCACTTACAAATTCCACCAAAAGAGTGTCTCAAATCTGCTCTGTGTAAAGAATCATTCAACTCTGTGAGTTGAATGCACACAACACAAGGAAGTTACTGGGAATTCCTCTGTCTATCCTTACATGAAAAAACCCGTTTCCAACGAAGGCCTCTAAGAGGCCAAGATATCCACTTGCAGACTTTACAAACAGAGTGTTTCCAAACTGCTGAATGAAAAGAAAAGTTAAACTCTGTGAGTTGAACGCACACATCACAGAGCAGTTTCTGAGAAAGATTCTGTCTAGTTTTTATAGGAAAATATTTCCTTTTCTGCTTTTGGCCTCAAAGCGCTTGAAATCTCCTCTTGCAAATTCCACAAAAAGAGTGTTTCAAATCTGCTCTGTCTAAAGGAAGGTTGAACTCTGTGAGTTGTATACACACAACACAAAGAAGTTACTGAGAAATCTTCTGTCTAGCATAATATGAAGAAATCCCGTTTCCAACGAAGGCCTCAAAGAGGTCCGAATATCCACTGGCAGGCTTCACAAACAGAGTGTTTCCTAACTGCTCTGTGAAAAGAAAGGTTAAACTCTGTGAGTTGAACGCACACATCACAAAGGAGTTTCTGAGAATCATTCTGTCTAGTTTTTATACGAAGATATTTCTTTTTCTACCATTGACCTCAAAGCGGCTGAAATCTCCACTTGCAAATTCCAGAAAAACAGTGTTTCAAATCTGCTCTGTGTAAAGGATCGTTCAACTCTGTGAGTTGAATACACACAACACAAGGAAGTTACTGAGAATTCATCTGTCTAGCATAATATGAAGAAATCCCGTTTCCAACGAAGGCCTCAAAGTAGGTCTGAATATCCACTTGCAGACTTTACAAACAGAGTGTTTCCTAACTGCTCTTTGAAAAGAAAGGTTAAACTCTGTGAGTTGAACGCACACATCACAAAACAGTTTCTGAGAATCATTCTGTCTAGTTTTTATACGAAGATATTTCCTTTTCTACCGTTGACCTCAAAGCGGCTGAATTCTCCACTTACAAATTCCACCAAAAGAGTGTCTCAAATCTGCTCTGTGTAAAGAATCATTCAACTCTGTGAGTTGAATGCACACAACACAAGGAAGTTACTGGGAATTCCTCTGTCTAACCTTACATGAAAAAACGCGTTTCCAACGAAGGCCTCTAAGAGGCCAAGATATCCACTTGCAGACTTTACAAACAGAGTGTTTCCAAACTGCTGAATGAAAAGAAAAGTTAAACTCTGTGAGTTGAACGCACACATCACAGAGCAGTTTCTGAGAATGATTCTGTCGGGTTTTTATACGAAGATATTTCCTTTTCTGCCTTTGGCCTCAAAGCGCTTGAAGTCTCCACTTGCAAATTGCAGAAAAAGAGTGTTTCGAATCTGCTCTGTCTAAAAGAAGGTTCAACTCTGTCAGTTGAATACACACAACACAAGGAAGTTACTGAGATTTCTTCTGTCTAGCCTTACATGAAAAAAACCCGTTTCCAACGAAGGCCTCAAAGAGGTCAAAATATCCACGTGCAGACTTTCCAAACAGAGTGTTTCCAAACTGCTGAATGAAAAGAAAAGTTAAACTCTGTGAGTTGAATGCACACATCCCAGAGCAGTTTCTGAGAAAGATTCTGTCTAGTTTTTATAGGAAAATATTTCCTTTTCTGCTTTTGGCCTCAAAGCGCTTGAAATCTCCACTTGCAAATTCCACAAAAAGAGACTTTCAAATCTGGTCTGTCTAAAGGAAGGTTCAACTCTGTCAGTTGAATACACACAACACAAAGAAGTTACTAAGAATTCTTCCCTCTAGCATTATATGAAGAAATCCCGTTTCCAACGAAGGCATCTAAGAGGTCCAAATATCCACTTGCAGACTTTACAAACAGAGGGTTTCCAGAATGCTGTATGAAAAGAAAGGTTAAACTCTGTGAGTTAAACACACACATCACTACGCAGTGTCTGGGAACGAGTTTGTCTTGTTTTTATACGAAGATATTTCCTTTTCTACCATTGGCATCGAAGCGCTTGAAATCTCCACTTGCAAATTCCACAAAAAGAGTGTTTCAAATCTGCTCTGTCTAAAGGAAGGTTGAACTCTGTGAGTTGCATACACACAACACAAAGAAGTTACTGAGAAATCTTCTGTCTAGCAAAATATGAAGAAATCCCGTTTCCAACGAAGGCCTGAAAGAGGTCCGAATATCCACTGGCAGGCTTCACAAACAGAGTGTTTCCTAACTGCTCTGTGAAAAGAAAGGTTAAACTCTGTGAGTTGAACGCACACATCACAAAGGAGTTTCTGAGAATCATTCTGTCTAGTTTTTATACGAAGATATTTCCTTTTCTACCATTGACCTCAAAGCGGCTGAAATCTCCACTTGCAAATTCCAGAAAAACAGTGTTTCAAATCTGCTCTGTGTAAAGGATCGTTCAACTCTGTGAGTTGAATACACACAACACAAGGAAGTTACTGAGAATTCATCCCTCTAGCATTATATGAAGAAATCCCGTTTCCAACGAAGGCCTCAAAGAGGTCTGAATATCCACTTGCAGATTTTACAGAGTGTTTCCTAACTGCTCTTTGAAAAGAAAGGTTAAACTCTGTGAGTTGAACGCACACATCACAAAACAGTTTCTGAGAATCATTCTGTCTAGTTTTTATACGAAGGTATTTCCTTTTCTACCGTTGACCTCAAAGCGGCTGAATTCTCCACTTACAAATTCCACCCAAAGAGTGTCTCAAATCTGCTCTGTGTAAAGAATCATTCACCTCTGTGAGTTGAATGCACACAACACAAGGAAGTTACTGGGAATTCCTCTGTCTAACCTTACATGAAAAAACCCGTTTCCAACGAAGGCCTCTAAGAGGCCAAGATATCCACTTGCAGACTTTACAAACAGAGTGTTTCCAAACTGCTGAATGAAAAGAAAAGTTAAACTCTGTGAGTTGAACGCACACATCACAGAGCAGTTTCTGAGAATGATTCTGTCGGGTTTTTATACGAAGATATTTCCTTTTCTGCCTTTGGCCTCAAAGCGCTTGAAGTCTCCACTTGCAAATTGCAGAAAAAGAGTGTTTCGAATCTGCTCTGTCTAAAGGAAGGTTCAACTCTGTCAGTTGAATACACACAACACAAGGAAGTTACTGAGATTTCTTCTGTCTAGCCTTACATGAAAAAAACCCGTTTCCAACGAAGGCCTCAAAGAGGTCAAAATATCCACGTGCAGACTTTCCAAACAGAGTGTTTCCAAACTGCTGAATGAAAAGAAAAGTTAAACTCTGTGAGTTGAACGCACACATCCCAGAGCAGTTTCTGAGAAAGATTCTGTCGAGTTTTTATAGGAAAATATTTCCTTTTCTGCTTTTGGCCTCAAAGCGCTTGAAATCTCCACTTGCAAATTCCACAAAAAGAGACTTTCAAATCTGCTCTGTCTAAAGGAAGGTTCAACTCTGTCAGTTGAATACACACAACACAAAGAAGTTACTAAGAATTCTTCCCTCTAGCATTATATGAAGAAATCCCGTTTCCAACCGAAGGCATCTAAGAGGTCCAAATATCCACTTGCAGACTTTACAAACACAGGGTTTCCAGAATGCTGTATGAAAAGAAAGGTTAAACTCTGTGAGTTAAACACACACATCACTACGCAGTGTCTGGGAACGAGTTTGTCTTGTTTTTATACGAAGATATTTCCTTTTCTACCATTGGCATCGAAGCGCTTGAAATCTCCACTTGCAAATTCCACAAAAAGAGTGTTTCAAATCTGCTCTGTCTAAAGGAAGGTTGAACTCTGTGAGTTGCATATACACAACACAAAGAAGTTACTGAGAAATCTTTTGTCTAGCATAATATGAAGAAATCCCGTTTCCAACGAAGGCCTCAAAGAGGTCCGAATATCCACTGGCAGGCTTCACAAACAGAGTGTTTCCTAACTGCTCTGTGAAAAGAAAGGTTAAACTCTGTGAGTTGAACGCACACATCACAAAGGAGTTTCTGAGAATCATTCTGTCTAGTTTTTATACGAAGATATTTCCTTTTCTACCATTGACCTCAAAGCGGCTGAAATCTCCACTTGCAAATTCCAGAAAAACAGTGTTTCAAATCTGCTCTGTGTAAAGGATCGTTCAACTCTGTGAGTTGAATACACACAACACAAGGAAGTTACTGAGAATTCATCTGTCTAGCATAATATGAAGAAATCCCGTTTCCAACGAAGGCCTCAAAGAGGTCTGAATATCCACTTGCAGACTTTACAAACAGAGTGTTTCCTAACTGCTCTTTGAAAAGAAAGGTTAAACTCTGTGAGTTGAAAGCACACATCACAAAACAGTTTCTGAGAATCATTCTGTCTAGTTTTTATACGAAGATATTTCCTTTTCTACCGTTGACCTCAAAGCAGCTGAATTCTCCACTTACAAATTCCACCCAAAGAGTGTCTCAAATCTGCTCTGTGTAAAGAATCATTCAACTCTGTGAGTTGAGTGCACACAACACAAGGAAGTTACTGGGAATTCCTCTGTCTAACCTTACATGAAAAAACCCGTTTCCAACGAAGGCCTCTAAGAGGCCAAGATATCCACTTGCAGACTTTACAAACAGAGTGTTTCCAAACTGCTGAATGAAAAGAAAAGTTAAACTCTGTGAGTTGAACGCACACATCACAGAGCAGTTTCTGAGAATGATTCTGTCGGGTTTTTATACGAAGATATTTCCTTTTCTGCCTTTGGCCTCAAAGCGCTTGAAGTCTCCACTTGCTAATTGCAGAAAAAGAGTGTTTCGAATCTGCTCTGTCTAAAGGAAGGTTCAACTCTGTCAGTTGAATACACACAACACAAGGAAGTTACTGAGATTTCTTCTGTCTAGCCTTACATGAAAAAAACCCGTTTCCAACGAAGGCCTCAAAGAGGTCAAAATATCCACGTGCAGACTTTCCAAACAGAGTGTTTCCAAACTGCTGAATGAAAAGAAAAGTTAAACTCTGTGAGTTGAACGCACACATCCCAGAGCAGTTTCTGAGAAAGATTCTGTCTAGTTTTTATAGGAAAATATTTCCTTTTCTGCTTTTGGCCTCAAAGCGCTTGAAATCTCCACTTGCAAATTCCACAAAAAGAGACTTTCAAATCTGGTCTGTCTAAAGGAAGGTTCAACTCTGTCAGTTGAATACACACAACACAAAGAAGTTACTAAGAATTCTTCCCTCTAGCATTATATGAAGAAATCCCGTTTGCAACGAAGGCATCTAAGAGGTCCAAATATCCACTTGCAGACTTTACAAACAGAGGGTTTCCAGAATGCTGTATGAAAAGAAAGGTGAAACTCTGTGAGTTAAACACACACATCACTACGCAGTTTCTGGGAATGATTTTGTCTTGTTTTTATACGAAGATATTTCCTTTTCGACCATTGGCGTCGAAGCGCTTGAAATCTCCACTTGCAAATTCCACAAAAAGAGTGTTTCAAATCTGCTCTGTCTAAAGGAAGGATGAACTCTGTGAGTTGCATACACATAACACAAAGTAGTTACTGAGAAATCTGTCTAGCATAATATGAAGAAATCCCGTTTCCAAGGAAGGCCTCAAAGAGGTCCGAATATCCACTGGCAGACTTCACAAACAGAGTGTTTCCTAACTGCTCTTTGAAAAGAAAGGTTAAACTCTGTGAGTTGAACGCACACATAACAAAACAGTTTCTGAGAATCATTCTTTCTAGTTTTTATACGAAGATATTTCCTTTTCTACCGTTGACCTCAAAGCGGCTGAATTCTCCACTTACAAATTCCACCAAAAGAGTGTCTCAAATCTGCTCTGTGTAAAGAATCATT
Source organism: Homo sapiens (assembly GCF_000001405.40). Classification (NCBI taxonomy): domain Eukaryota; kingdom Metazoa; phylum Chordata; class Mammalia; order Primates; family Hominidae; genus Homo; species Homo sapiens. The sequence continues at coordinate 37,857,071 of NC_000016.10, read as the reverse complement.
CAACTCTGTGAGTTGAATGCACACAACACAAGGAAGTTACTGGGAATTCCTCTGTCTAACCTTACATGAAAAAACGCGTTTCCAACGAAGGCCTCTAAGAGGCCAAGATATCCACTTGCAGACTTTACAAACAGAGTGTTTCCAAACTGCTGAATGAAAAGAAAAGTTAAACTCTGTGAGTTGAACGCACACATCACAGAGCAGTTTCTGAGAATGATTCTGTCGGGTTTTTATACGAAGATATTTCCTTTTCTGCCTTGGCCTCAAAGCGCTTGAAGTCTCCACTTGCAAATTGCAGAAAAAGAGCGTTTCGAATCTGCTCTGTCTAAAGGAAGGTTCAACTCTGTCAGTTAAATACACACAACACAAGGAAGTTACTGAGATTTCTTCTGTCTAGCCTTACATGAAAAAAACCCGTTTCCAACGAAGGCCTCAAAGAGGTCAAAATATCCACGTGCAGACTTTCCAAACAGAGTGTTTCCAAACTGCTGAATGAAAAGAAAGTTAAACTCTGTGAGTTGAACACACACATCACAGAGCAGTTTCTGAGAATGATTCTGTCGAGTTTTTATAGGAAAATATTTCCTTTTCTGCTTTTGGCCTCAAAGCGCTTGAAATCTCCACTTGCAAATTCCACAAAAAGAGACTTTCAAATCTGCTCTGTCTAAAGGAAGGTTCAACTCTGTCAGTTGAATACACACAACACAAAGAAGTTATTAAGAATTCTTCCCTCTAGCATTATATGAAGAAATCCCGTTTCCAACGAAGGCATCTAAGAGGTCCAAATATCCACTTGCAGACTTTACAAACACAGGGTTTCCAGAATGCTGTATGAAAAGAAAGGTTAAACTCTGTGAGTTAAACACACACATCACTACGAAGTGTCTGGGAACGAGTTTGTCTTGTTTTTATACGAAGATATTTCCTTTTCTACCATTGGCATCGAAGCGCTTGAAATCTCCACTTGCAAATTCCACAAAAAGAGTGTTTCAAATCTGCTCTGTCTAAAGGAAGGTTGAACTCTGTGAGTTGCATACACACAACACAAAGAAGTTACTGAGAAATCTTCTGTCTAGCATAATATGAAGAAATCCCGTTTCCAACGAAGGCCTCAAAGAGGTCCGATTATCCACTGGCAGGCTTCACAAACAGAGTGTTTCCTAACTGCTCTGTGAAAAGAAAGGTTAAACTCTGTGAGTTGAACGCACACATCACAAAGGAGTTTCTGAGAATCATTCTGTCTAGTTTTTATACGAAGATATTTCCTTTTCTACCATTGACCTCAAAGCGGCTGAAATCTCCACTTGCAAATTCCAGAAAAACAGTGTTTCAAATCTGCTCTGTGTAAAGGATCGTTCAACTCTGTGAGTTGAATACACACAACACAAAGAAGTTACTGAGAATTCATCTGTCTAGCATAATATGAAGAAATCCCGTTTCCAACGAAGGCCTCAAAGAGGTCTGAATATCCACTTGCAGACTTTACAAACAGAGTGTTTCCTAACTGCTCTTTGAAAAGAAAGGTTAAACTCTGTGAGTTGAACGCACACATCACAAAACAGTTTCTGAGAATCATTCTGTCTAGTTTTTATACGAAGATATTTCCTTTTCTACCGTTGACCTCAAAGCGGCTGAATTCTCCACTTACAAATTCCACCAAAAGAGTGTCTCAAATGTGCTCTGTGTAAAGAATCATTCAACTCTGTGAGTTGAATGCACACAACACAAGGAAGTTACTGGGAATTCCTCTGTCTATCCTTACATGAAAAAACCCGTTTCCAACGAAGGCCTCTAAGAGGCCAAGATATCCACTTGCAGACTTTACAAACAGAGTGTTTCCAAACTGCTGAATGAAAAGAAAAGTTAAACTCTGTGAGTTGAACGCACACATCACAGAGCAGTTTCTGAGAATGATTCTGTCGGGTTTTTATACGAAGATATTTCCTTTTCTGCCTTTGGCCTCAAAGCGCTTGAAGTCTCCACTTGCAAATTGCAGAAAAAGAGTGTTTCGAATCTGCTCTGTCTAAAGGAAGGTTCAACTCTGTCAGTTGAATACACACAACACAAGGAAGTTACTGAGATTTCTTCTGTCTAGCCTTACATGAAAAAAACCCGTTTCCAACGAAGGCCTCAAAGAGGTCAAAATATCCACGTGCAGACTTTCCAAACAGAGTGTTTCCAAACTGCTGAATGAAAAGAAAAGTTAAACTCTGTGAGTTGAACGCACACATCCCACAGCAGTTTCTGAGAAAGATTCTGTCTAGTTTTTATAGGAAAATACTTCCTTTTCTGCTTTTGGCCTCAAAGCGCTTGAAATCTCCACTTGCAAATTCCACAAAAAGAGACTTTCAAATCTGCTCTGTCTAAAGGAAGGTTCAACTCTGTCAGTTGAATACACACAACACAAAGAAGTTACTAAGAATTCTTCCCTCTAGCATTATATGAAGAAATCCCGTTTCCAACGAAGGCATCTAAGAGGTCCAAATATCCACTTGCAGACTTTACAAACACAGGGTTTCCAGAATGCTGTATGAAAAGAAAGGTGAAACTCTGTGAGTTAAACACACACATCACTACGCAGTGTCTGGGAACGAGTTTGTCTTGTTTTTATACGAAGATATTTCCTTTTCTACCATTGGCATCGAAGCGCTTGAAATCTCCACTTGCAAATTCCACAAAAAGAGTGTTTCAAATATGCTCTCTCTAAAGGAAGGTTGAACTCTGTGAGTTGCATACACACAACACAAAGAAGTTACTGAGAAATCTTCTGTCTAGCATAATATGAAGAAATCCCGTTTCCAACGAAGGCCTCAAAGAGGTCCGAATATCCACTGGCAGGCTTCACAAACAGAGTGTTTCCTAACTGCTCTGTGAAAAGAAAGGTTAAACTCTGTGAGTTGAACGCACACATCACAAAGGAGTTTCTGAGAATCATTCTGTCTAGTTTTTATACGAAGATATTTCCTTTTCTACCATTGACCTCAAAGCGGCTGAAATCTCCACTTGCAAATTCCAGAAAAACAGTGTTTCAAATCTGCTCTGTGTAAAGGATCGTTCAACTCTGTGAGTTGAATACACACAACACAAGGAAGTTACTGAGAATTCATCTGTCTAGCATAATATGAAGAAATCCCGTTTCCAACGAAGGCCTCAAAGAGGTCTGAATATCCACTTGCAGACTTTACAAACAGAGTGTTTCCTAACTGCTCTTTGAAAAGAAAGGTTAAACTCTGTGAGTTGAAAGCACACATCACAAAACAGTTTCTGAGAATCATTCTGTCTAGTTTTTATACGAAGATATTTCCTTTTCTACCGTTGACCTCAAAGCGGCTGAATTCTCCACTTACAAATTCCACCAAAAGAGTGTCTCAAATCTGCTCTGTGTAAAGAATCATTCAACTCTGTGAGTTGAATGCACACAACACAAGGAAGTTACTGGGAATTCCTCTGTCTAACCTTACATGAAAAAACCCGTTTCCAACGAAGGCCTCTAAGAGGCCAAGATATCCACTTGCAGAATTTACAAACAGAGTGTTTCCAAACTGCTGAATGAAAAGAAAAGTTAAACTCTGTGAGTTGAACGCACACATCACAGAGCAGTTTCTGAGAATGATTCTGTCGGGTTTTTATACGAAGATATTTCCTTTTCTGCCTTTGGCCTCAAAGCGCTTGAAGTCTCCACTTGCAAATTGCAGAAAAAGAGTGTTTCGAATCTGCTCTGTCTAAAGGAAGGTTCAACTCTGTCAGTTGAATACACACAACACAAGGAAGTTACTGAGATTTCTTCTGTCTAGCCTTACATGAAAAAAACCCGTTTCCAACGAAGGCCTCAAAGAGGTCAAAATATCCACGTGCAGACTTTCCAAACAGAGTGTTTCCAAACTGCTGAATGAAAAGAAAAGTTAAACTCTGTGAGTTGAACGCACACATCCCAGAGCAGTTTCTGAGAAAGATTCTGTCGAGTTTTTATAGGAAAATATTTCCTTTTCTGCTTTCGGCCTCAAAGCGCTTGAAATCTCCACTTGCAAATTCCACAAAAAGAGACTTTCAAATCTGCTCTGTCTAAAGGAAGGTTCAACTCTGTCAGTTGAATACACACAACACAAAGAAGTTACTAAGAATTCTTCCCTCTAGCATTATATGAAGAAATCCCGTTTCCAACGAAGGCATCTAAGAGGTCCAAATATCCACTTGCAGACTTTACAAACACACGGTTTCCAGAATGCTGTATGAAAAGAAAGGTGAAACTCTGTGAGTTAAACACACACATCACTACGCAGTGTCTGGGAACGAGTTTGTCTTGTTTTTATACGAAGATATTTCCTTTTCTACCATTGGCATCGAAGCGCTTGAAATCTCCACTTGCAAATTCCACAAAAAGAGTGTTTCAAATCTGCTCTGTCTAAAGGAAGGTTGAACTCTGTGAGTTGCATACACACAACACAAAGAAGTTACTGAGAAATCTTCTGTCTAGCATAATATGAAGAAACCCCGTTTCCAACGAAGGCCTCAAAGAGGTCTGAATATCCACTGGCAGACTTCACAAACAGAGTGTTTCCTAACTACTCTATGAAAAGAAAGGTTAAACTCTGTGAGTTGAACGCACACATCACAAAGGAGTTTCTGAGAATCATTCTGTCTAGTTTTTATACGAAGATATTTCCTTTTCTACCATTGACCTCAAAGCGGCTGAAATCTCCACTTGCAAATTCCACAAAAAGAGTGTTTCTAATCTGCTCTGTGTAAAGGATCGTTCAACTCTGTGAGTTGAAAGCACACAACACAAGGAAGTTATTGAGAATTCTTCTGTCTAGCATAATATGAAGAAATCCCGTTTCCAAGGAAGGCCTCAAAGAGGTCTGAATATCCACTGGCAGACTTCACAAACAGAGTGTTTCCTAACTACTCTATGAAAAGAAAGGTTAAACTCTGTGAGTTGAAAGCACACATCACAAAGGAGTTTCTGAGAATCATTCTGTCTAGTTTTTATACGACCATATTTCCTTTTCTACCATTGACCTCAAAGCGGCTGAAATCTCCACCTGCAAATTCCACAAAAAGAGTGTTTCTAATCTGCTCTGTGTAAAGGATCGTTCAACTCTGTGAGTTGAAAGTACACAACACAAGGAAGTTACTGAGAATTCTTCTGTCTAGCATAATATGAAGAAATCCCGTTTCCAACGAAGGCCTCAAAGAGGTCTGAATATCCGCTTGCAGACTTTACAAACAGAGTGTTTCCTAACTGCTCTTTGAAAAGAAAGGTTAAACTCTGTGAGTTGAACGCACACATCACAAAACAGTTTCTGAGAATCATTCTGTCTAGTTTTTATACGAAGATATTTCCTTTTCTACCATTGACCTCAAAGCGGCTGAATTCTCCACTTACAAATTCCACCAACAGTGTCTCAAATCTGCTCTGTGTAAAGAATCATTCAACTCTGTGAGTTGAATGCACACAACACAAGGAAGTTACTGGGAATTCCTCTGTCTATCCTTACATGAAAAAACCCGTTTCCAACGAAGGCCTCTAAGAGGCCAAGATATCCACATGCAGACTTTACAAACAGAGTGTTTCCAAACTGCTGAATGAAAAGAAAAGTTAAACTCTGTGAGTTGAACGCACACATCACAGAGCAGTTTCTGAGAATGATTCTGTCGGGTTTTTATACGAAGATATTTCCTTTTCTGCCTTTGGCCTCAAAGCGCTTGAAGTCTCCACTTGCAAATTGCAGAAAAAGAGTGTTTCGAATCTGCTCTGTCTAAAGGAAGGTTCAACTCTGTCAGTTGAATACACACAACACAAGGAAGTTACTGAGATTTCTTCTGTCTAGCCTTACATGAAAAAAACCCGTTTCCAACGAAGGCCTCAAAGAGGTCAAAATATCCACGTGCAGACTTTCCAAACAGAGTGTTTCCAAACTGCTGAATGAAAAGAAAAGTTAAACTCTGTGAGTTGAACGCACACATCCCAGAGCAGTTTCTGAGAAAGATTCTGTCGAGTTTTTATAGGAAAATATTTCCTTTTCTGCTTTTGGCCTCAAAGCGCTTGAAATCTCCACTTGCAAATTCCACAAAAAGAGACTTTCAAATCTGCTCTGTCTAAAGGAAGGTTCAACTCTGTCAGTTGAATACACACAACACAAAGAAGTTACTAAGAATTCTTCCCTCTAGCATTATATGAAGAAATCCCGTTTCCAACGAAGGCATCTAAGAGGTCCAAATATCCACTTGCAGACTTTACAAACACAGGGTTTCCAGAATGCTGTATGAAAAGAAAGGTTAAACTCTGTGAGTTAAACACACACATCACTACGCAGTGTCTGGGAACGAGTTTGTCTTGTTTTTATACGAAGATATTTCCTTTTCTACCATTGGCATCGAAGCGCTTGAAATCTCCACTTGCAAATTCCACAAAAAGAGTGTTTCAAATCTGCTCTGTCTAAAGGAAGGTTGAACTCTGTGAGTTGCATACACACAACACAAAGAAGTTACTGAGAAATCTTCTGTCTAGCATAATATGAAGAAATCCCGTTTCCAACGAAGGCCTCAAAGAGGTCCGAATATCCACTGGCAGGCTTCACAAACAGAGTGTTTCCTAACTGCTCTGTGAAAAGAAAGGTTAAACTCTGTGAGTTGAACGCACACATCACAAAGGAGTTTCTGAGAATCATTCTGTCTAGTTTTTATACGAAGATATTTCCTTTTCTACCATTGACCTCAAAGCGGCTGAAATCTCCACTTGCAAATTCCAGAAAAACAGTGTTTCAAATCTGCTCTGTGTAAAGGATCGTTCAACTCTGTGAGTTGAATACACACAACACAAGGAAGTTACTGAGAATTCATCTGTCTAGCATAATATGAAGAAATCCCGTTTCCAACGAAGGCCTCAAAGAGGTCTGAATATCCACTTGCAGACTTTACAAACAGAGTGTTTCCTAACTGCTCTTTGAAAAGAAAGGTTAAACTCTGTGAGTTGAACGCACACATCACAAAACAGTTTCTGAGAATCATTCTGTCTAGTTTTTATACGAAGATATTTCCTTTTCTACCGTTGACCTCAAAGCGGCTGAATTCTCCACTTACAAATTCCACCAAAAGAGTGTCTCAAATCTGCTCTGTGTAAAGAATCATTCAACTCTGTGAGTTAAATGCACACAACACAAGGAAGTTACTGGGAATTCCTCTGTCTATCCTTACATGAAAAAACCCGTTTCCAACGAAGGCCTCTAAGAGGCCAAGATATCCACTTGCAGACTTTACAAACAGAGTGTTTCCAAACTGCTGAATGAAAAGAAAAGTTAAACTCTGTGAGTTGAACGCACACATCACAGAGCAGTTTCTGAGAATGATTCTGTCGGGTTTTTATACGAAGATATTTCCTTTTCTGCCTTTGGCCTCAAAGCGCTTGAAGTCTCCACTTGCAAATTGCAGAAAAAGAGTGTTTCGAATCTGCTCTGTCTAAAAGAAGGTTCAACTCTGTCAGTTGAATACACACAACACAAGGAAGTTACTGAGATTTCTTCTGTCTAGCCTTACATGAAAAAAACCCGTTTCCAACGAAGGCCTCAAAGAGGTCAAAATATCCACGTGCAGACTTTCCAAACAGAGTGTTTCCAAACTGCTGAATGAAAAGAAAAGTTAAACTCTGTGAGTTGAACACACACAACCCAGAGCAGTTTCTGAGAAAGATTCTGTCTAGTTTTTATAGGAAAATATTTCCTTTTCTGCTTTTGGCCTCAAAGCGCTTGAAATCTCCACTTGCAAATTCCACAAAAAGAGACTTTCAAATCTGCTCTGTCTAAAGGAAGGTTCAACTCTGTCAGTTGAATACACACAACACAAAGAAGTTACTAAGAATTCTTCCCTCTAGCATTATATGAAGAAATCCCGTTTCCAACGAAGGCATCTAAGAGGTCCAAATATCCACTTGCAGACTTTACAAACAGAGGGTTTCCAGAATGCTGTATGAAAAGAAAGGTGAAACTCTGTGAGTTAAACACACACATCACTACGCAGTGTCTGGGAACGAGTTTGTCTTGTTTTTATACGAAGATATTTCCTTTTCTACCATTGGCATCGAAGCGCTTGAAATCTCCACTTGCAAATTCCACAAAAAGAGTGTTTCAAATCTGCTCTGTCTAAAGGAAGGTTGAACTCTGTGAGTTGCATACACACAACACAAAGAAGTTACTGAGAAATCTTCTGTCTAGCATAATATGAAGAAATCCCGTTTCCAACGAAGGCCTCAAAGAGGTCCGAATATCCACTGGCAGGCTTCACAAACAGAGTGTTTCCTAACTGCTCTGTGAAAAGAAAGGTTAAACTCTGTGAGTTGAACGCACACATCACAAAGGAGTTTCTGAGAATCATTCTGTCTAGTTTTTATACGAAGATATTTCCTTTTCTACCATTGACGTCAAAGCGGCTGAAATCTCCACTTGCAAATTCCAGAAAAACAGTGTTTCAAATCTGCTCTGTGTAAAGGATCGTTTAACTCTGTGAGTTGAATACACACAACACAAGGAAGTTACTGAGAATTCATCTGTCTAGCATAATATGAAGAAATCCCGTTTCCAACGAAGGCCTCAAAGAGGTCTGAATATCCACTTGCAGACTTTACAAACAGAGTGTTTCCTAACTGCTCTTTGAAAAGAAAGGTTAAACTCTGTGAGTTGAACGCACACATCACAAAACAGTTTCTGAGAATCATTCTGTCTAGTTTTTATACGAAGATATTTCCTTTTCTACCGTTGACCTCAAAGCGGCTGAATTCTCCACTTACAAATTCCACCAAAAGAGTGTCTCAAATCTGCTCTGTGTAAAGAATCGTTCAACTCTGTGAGTTGAATGCACACAACACAAGGAAGTTACTGGGAATTCCTCTGTCTAACCTTACATGACAAAACCCGTTTCCAACGAAGGCCTCTAAGAGGCCAAGATATCCACTTGCAGACTTTACAAACAGAGTGTTTCCAAACTGCTGAATGAAAAGAAAAGTTAAACTCTGTGAGTTGAACGCACACATCACAGAGCAGTTTCTGAGAATGATTCTGTCGGGTTTTTATACGAAGATATTTCCTTTTCTGCCTTTGGCCTCAAAGCGCTTGAAGTCTCCACTTGCAAATTGCAGAAAAAGAGTGTTTCGAATCTGCTCTGTCTAAAGGAAGGTTCAACTCTGTCAGTTGAATACACACAACACAAGGAAGTTACTGAGATTTCTTCTGTCTAGCTTACATGAAAAAAACCCGTTTCCAACGAAGGCCTCAAAGAGGTCAAAATATCCACGTGCAGACTTTCCAAACAGAGTGTTTCCAAACTGCTGAATGAAAAGAAAAGTTAAACTCTGTGAGTTGAACGCACACATCCCAGAGCAGTTTCTGAGAAAGATTCTGTCTAGTTTTTATAGGAAAATATTTCCTTTTCTGCTTTTGGCCTCAAAGCGCTTGAAATCTCCACTTGCAAATTCCACAAAAAGAGACTTTCAAATCTGCTCTGTCTAAAGGAAGGTTCAACTCTGTCAGTTGAATACACACAACACAAAGAAGTTACTAAGAATTCTTCCCTCTAGCATTATATGAAGAAATCCCGTTTCCAACGAAGGCATCTAAGAGGTCCAAATATCCACTTGCAGACTTTACAAACACAGGGTTTCCAGAATGCTGTATGAAAAGAAAGGTTAAACTCTGTGAGTTAAACACACACATCACTACGCAGTGTCTGGGAACGAGTTTGTCTTGTTTTTATACGAAGATATTTCCTTTTCTACCATTGGCATCGAAGCGCTTGAAATCTCCACTTGCAAATTCCACAAAAAGAGTGTTTCAAATCTGCTCTGTCTAAAGGAAGGTTGAACTCTGTGAGTTGCATACACACAACACAAAGAAGTTACTGAGAAATCTTCTGTCTAGCATAATATGAAGAAATCCCGTTTCCAACGAAGGCCTCAAAGAGGTCCGAATATCCACTGGCAGGCTTCACAAACAGAGTGTTTCCTAACTGCTCTGTGAAAAGAAAGGTTAAACCCTGTGAGTTGAACGCACACATCACAAAGGAGTTTCTGAGAATCATTCTGTCTAGTTTTTATACGAAGATATTTCCTTTTCTACCATTGACCTCAAAGCGGCTGAAATCTCCACTTGCAAATTCCAGAAAAACAGTGTTTCAAATCTGCTCTGTGTAAAGGATCGTTCAACTCTGTGAGTTGAATACACACAACACAAGGAAGTTACTGAGAATTCATCTGTCTAGCATAATATGAAGAAATCCCGTTTCCAACGAAGGCCTCAAAGAGGTCTGAATATCCACTTGCAGACTTTACAAACAGAGTGTTTCCTAACTGCTCTTTGAAAAGAAAGGTTAAACTCTGTGAGTTGAACGCACACATCACAAAACAGTTTCTGAGAATCATTCTGTCTAGTTTTTATACGAAGATATTTCCTTTTCTACCGTTGACCTCAAAGCGGCTGAATTCTCCACTTACAAATTCCACCAAAAGAGTGTCTCAAATCTGCTCTGTGTAAAGAATCATTCAACTCTGTGAGTTGAATGCACACAACACAAGGAAGTTACTGGGAATTCCTCTGTCTAACCTTACATGAAAAAACCCGCTTCCAACGAAGGCCTCTAAGAGGCCAAGATATCCACTTGCAGACTTTACAGAGTGTTTCCAAACTGCTGAATGAAAAGAAAAGTTAAACTCTGTGAGTTGAACGCACACATCACAGAGCAGTTTCTGAGAATGATTCTGTCGGGTTTTTATACGAAGATATTTCCTTTTCTGCCTTTGGCCTCAAAGCGCTTGAAGTCTCCACTTGCAAATTGCAGAAAAAGAGTGTTTCGAATCTGCTCTGTCTAAAGGAAGGTTCAACTCTGTCAGTTGAATACACACAACACAAGGAAGTTACTGAGATTTCTTCTGTCTAGCCTTACATGAAAAAAACCCGTTTCCAACGAAGGCCTCAAAGAGGTCAAAATATCCACGTGCAGACTTTCCAAACAGAGTGTTTCCAAACTGCTGAATGAAAAGAAAAGTTAAACTCTGTGAGTTGAACGCACACATCCCAGAGCAGTTTCTGAGAAAGATTCTGTCGAGTTTTTATAGGAAAATATTTCCTTTTCTGCTTTTGGCCTCAAAGCGCTTGAAATCTCCACTTGCAAATTCCACAAAAAGAGACTTTCAAATCTGCTCTGTCTAAAGGAAGGTTCAACTCTGTCAGTTGAATACACACAACACAAAGAAGTTACTAAGAATTCTTCCCTCTAGCATTATATGAAGAAATCCCGTTTCCAACGAAGGCATCTAAGAGGTCCAAATATCCACTTGCAGACTTTACAAACACAGGGTTTCCAGAATGCTGTATGAAAAGAAAGGTTAAACTCTGTGAGTTAAACACACACATCACTACGCAGTGTCTGGGAACGAGTTTGTCTTGTTTTTATACGAAGATATTTCCTTTTCTACCATTGGCATCGAAGCGCTTGAAATCTCCACTTGCAAATTCCACAAAAAGAGTGTTTCAAATCTGCTCTGTCTAAAGGAAGGTTGAACTCTGTGAGTTGCATACACACAACACAAAGAAGTTACTGAGAAATCTTCTGTCTAGCATAATATGAAGAAATCCCGTTTCCAACGAAGGCCTCAAAGAGGTCCGAATATCCACTGGCAGGCTTCACAAACAGAGTGTTTCCTAACTGCTCTGTGAAAAGAAAGGTTAAACTCTGTGAGTTGAACGCACACATCACAAAGGAGTTTCTGAGAATCATTCTGTCTAGTTTTTATACGAAGCATATTTCCTTTTCTACCATTGACCTCAAAGCGGCTGAAATCTCCACTTGCAAATTCCAGAAAAACAGTGTTTCAAATCTGCTCTGTGTAAAGGATCGTTCAACTCTGTGAGTTGAATACACACAACACAAGGAAAGTTACTGAGAATTCATCTGTCTAGCATAATATGAAGAAATCCCGTTTCCAACGAAGGCCTCAAAGAGGTCTGAATATCCACTTGCAGACTTTACAAACAGAGTGTTTCCTAACTGCTCTTTGAAAAGAAAGGTTAAACTCTGTGAGTTGAACGCACACATCACAAAACAGTTTCTGAGAATCATTCTGTCTAGTTTTTATACGAAGATATTTCCTTTTCTACCGTTGACCTCAAAGCGGCTGAATTCTCCACTTACAAATTCCACCAAAAGAGTGTCTCAAAACTGCTCTGTGTAAAGAATCATTCAACTCTGTGAGTTGAATGCACACAACACAAGGAAGTTACTGGGAATTCCTCTGTCTAACCTTACATGAAAAAACCCGTTTCCAACGAAGGCCTCTAAGAGGCCAAGATATCCACTTGCAGACTTTACAAACAGAGTGTTTCCAAACTGCTGAATAAAAAGAAAAGTTAAACTCTGTGAGTTGAACGCACACATCACAGAGCAGTTTCTGAGAATGATTCTGTCGGGTTTTTATACGAAGATATTTCCTTTTCTGCCTTTGGCCTCAAAGCGCTTGAAGTCTCCACTTGCAAATTGCAGAAAAAGAGTGTTTCGAATCTGCTCTGTCTAAAGGAAGGTTCAACTCTGTCAGTTGAATACACACAACACAAGGAAGTTACTGAGATTTCTTCTGTCTAGCCTTACATGAAAAAAACCCGTTTCCAACGAAGGCCTCAAAGAGGTCAAAATATCCACGTGCAGACTTTCCAAACAGAGTGTTTCCAAACTGCTGAATGAAAAGAAAAGTTAAACTCTGTGAGTTGAACGCACACATCCCAGAGCAGTTTCTGAGAAAGATTCTGTCGAGTTTTTATAGGAAAATACTTCCTTTTCTGCTTTTGGCCTCAAAGCGCTTGAAATCTCCACTTGCAAATTCCACAGAAAGAGACTTTCAAATCTGCTCTGTCTAAAGGAAGGTTCAACTCTGTCAGTTGAATACACACAACACAAAGAAGTTACTAAGAATTCTTCCCTCTAGCATTATATGAAGAAATCCCGTTTCCAACGAAGGCATCTAAGAGGTCCAAATATCCACTTGCAGACTTTACAAACACAGGGTTTCCAGAATGCTGTATGAAAAGAAAGGTTAAACTCTGTGAGTTAAACACACACATCACTACGCAGTGTCTGGGAACGAGTTTGTCTTGTTTTTATACGAAGGATATTTCCTTTTCTACCATTGGCATCGAAGCGCTTGAAATCTCCACTTGCAAATTCCACAAAAAGAGTGTTTCAAATCTGCTCTGTCTAAAGGAAGGTTGAACTCTGTGAGTTGCATACACACAACCCGAAGAAGTTACTGAGAAATCTTCTGTCTAGCATAATATGAAGAAATCCCGTTTCCAACGAAGGCCTCAAAGAGGTCCGAATATCCACTGGCAGGCTTCACAAACAGAGTGTTTCCTAACTGCTCTGTGAAAAGAAAGGTTAAACTCTGTGAGTTGAACGCACACATCACAAAGGAGTTTCTGAGAATCATTCTGTCTAGTTTTTATACGAAGATATTTCCTTTTCTACCATTGACCTCAAAGCGGCTGAAATCTCCACTTGCAACTTCCAGAAAAACAGTGTTTCAAATCTGCTCTGTGTAAAGGATCGTTTAACTCTGTGAGTTGAATACACACAACACAAGGAAGTTACTGAGAATTCATCTGTCTAGCATAATATGAAGAAATCCCGTTTCCAACGAAGGCCTCAAAGAGGTCTGAATATCCACTTGCAGACTTTACAAACAGAGTGTTTCCTAACTGCTCTTTGAAAAGAAAGGTTAAACTCTGTGAGTTGAACGCACACATCACAAAACAGTTTCTGAGAATCATTCTTTCTAGTTTTTATACGAAGATATTTCCTTTTCTACCGTTGACCTCAAAGCGGCTGAATTCTCCACTTACAAATTCCACCAAAAGTGTGTCTCAAATCTGCTCTGTGTAAAGAATCATTCAACTCTGTGAGTTGAATGCACACAACACAAGGAAGTTACTGGGAATTCCTCTGTCTATCCTTACATGAAAAAACCCGTTTCCAACGAAGGCCTCTAAGAGGCCAAGATATCCACTTGCAGACTTTACAAACAGAGTGTTTCCAAACTGCTGAATGAAAAGAAAAGTTAAACTCTGTGAGTTGAACGCACACATCACAGTAGCAGTTTCTGAGAATGATTCTGTCGGGTTTTTATACGAAGATATTTCCTTTTCTGCCTTTGGCCTCAAAGCGCTTGAAGTTTCCACTTGCAAATTGCAGAAAAAGAGTGTTTCGAATCTGCTCTGTCTAAAGGAAGGTTCAACTCTGTCAGTTGAATACACACAACACAAGGAAGTTACTGAGATTTCTTCTGTCTAGCCTTACAAGAAAAAAACCCGTTTCCAACGAAGGCCTCAAAGAGGTCAAAATATCCACGTGCAGACTTTCCAAACAGAGTGTTTCCAAACTGCTGAATGGAAAGAAATGTTAAACTCTGTGAGTTGAACGCACACATCCCAGAGCAGTTTCTGAGAAAGATTCTGTCGAGTTTTTATAGGAAAATATTTCCTTTTCTGCTTTTGGCCTCAAAGCGCTTGAAATCTCCACTTGCAAATTCCACAAAAAGAGACTTTCAAATCTGCTCTGTCTAAAGGAAGGTTCAACTCTGTCAGTTGAATACACACAACACAAAGAAGTTACTAAGAATTCTTCCCTCTAGCATTATATGAAGAAATCCCGTTTCCAACGAAGGCATCTAAGAGGTCCAAATATCCACTTGCAGACTTTACAAACACAGGGTTTCCAGAATGCTGTATGAAAAGAAAGGTTAAACTCTGTGAGTTAAACACACACATCACTACGCAGTGTCTGGGAACGAGTTTGTCTTGTTTTTATACGAAGATATTTCCTTTTCTACCATTGGCATCGAAGCGCTTGAAATCTCCACTTGCAAATTCCACAAAAAGAGTGTTTCAAATCTGCTCTGTCTAAAGGAAGGTTGAACTCTGTGAGTTGCATACACACAACACAAAGAAGTTACTGAGAAATCTTCTGTCTAGCATAATATGAAGAAATCCCGTTTCCAACGAAGGCCTCAAAGAGGTCCGAATATCCACTGGCAGGCTTCACAAACAGAGTGTTTCCTAACTGCTCTGTGAAAAGAAAGGTTAAACTCTGTGAGTTGAACGCACACATCACAAAGGAGTTTCTGAGAATCATTCTGTCTAGTTTTTATACGAAGATATTTCCTTTTCTACCATTGACCTCAAAGCGGCTGACATCTCCACTTGCAAATTCCAGAAAAACAGTGTTTCAAATCTGCTCTGTGTAAAGGATCGTTCAACTCTGTGAGTTGAATACACACAACACAAGGAAGTTACTGAGAATTCATCTGTCTAGCATAATATGATGAAATCCCGTTTCCAACGAAGGCTTCAAAGAGGTCTGAATATCCACTTGTAGACTTTACAAACAGAGTGTTTCCTAACTGCTCTTTGAAAAGAAAGGTTAAACTCTGTGAGTTGAACGCACACATCACAAAACAGTTTCTGAGAATCATTCTGTCTAGTTTTTATACGAAGATATTTCCTTTTCTACCGTTGACCTCAAAGCGGCTGAATTCTCCACTTACAAATTCCACCAAAAGAGTGTCTCAAATCTGCTCTGTGTAAAGAATCATTCAACTCTGTGAGTTGAATGCACACAACACAAGGAAGTTACTGGGAATTCCTCTGTCTAACCTTACATGAAAAAACCCGTTTCCAACGAAGGCCTCTAAGAGGCCAAGATATCCACTTGCAGACTTTACAAACAGAGTGTTTCCAAACTGCTGAATGAATAGAAAAGTTAAACTCTGTGAGTTGAACGCACACATCACAGAGCAGTTTCTGAGAATGATTCTGTCGGGTTTTTATACGAAGATATTTCCTTTTCTGCCTTTGGCCTCAAAGCGCTTGAAGTCTCCACTTGCAAATTGCAGAAAAAGAGTGTTTCGAATCTGCTCTGTCTAAAGGAAGGTTCAACTCTGTCAGTTGAATACACACAACACAAGGAAGTTACTGAGATTTCTTCTGTCTAGCGTTACATGAAAAAAACCCGTTTCCAACGAAGGCCTCAAAGAGGTCAAAATATCCACGTGCAGACTTTCCAAACAGAGTGTTTCCAAACTGCTGAATGAAAAGAAAAGTTAAACTCTGTGAGTTGAACGCACACATCCCAGAGCAGTTTCTGAGAAAGATTCTGTCTAGTTTTTATAGGAAAATATTTCCTTTTCTGCTTTTGGCCTCAAAGCGCTTGAAATCTCCACTTGCAAATTCCACAAAAAGAGACTTTCAAATCTGCTCTGTCTAAAGGAAGGTTCAACTCTGTCAGTTGAATACACACAACACAAAGAAGTTACTAAGAATTCTTCCCTCTAGCATTATATGAAGAAATCCCGTTTCCAACGAAGGCATCTAAGAGGTCCAAATATCCACTTGCAGACTTACAAACAGAGGGTTTCCAGAATGCTGTATGAAAAGAAAGGTGAAACTCTGTGAGTTAAACACACACATCACTACGCAGTGTCTGGGAACGAGTTTGTCTTGTTTTTATACGAAGATATTTCCTTTTCTACCATTGGCATCGAAGCGCTTGAAATCTCCACTTGCAAATTCCACAAAAAGAGTGTTTCAAATCTGCTCTGTCTAAAGGAAGGTTGAACTCTGTGAGTTGCATACACACAACACAAAGAAGTTACTGAGAAATCTTCTGTCTAGCATAATATGAAGAAATCCCGTTTCCAACGAAGGCCTGAAAGAGGTCTGAATATCCACTGGCAGGCTTCACAAACAGAGTGTTTCCTAACTGCTCTGTGAAAAGAAAGGTTAAACTCTGTGAGTTGAACGCACACATCACAAAGGAGTTTCTGAGAATCATTCTGTCTAGTTTTTATACGAAGATATTTCCTTTTCTACCATTGACCTCAAAGCGGCTGAAATCTCCACTTGCAAATTCCAGAAAAACAGTGTTTCAAATCTGCTCTGTGTAAAGGATCGTTCAACTCTGTGAGTTGAATACACACAACACAAGGAAGTTACTGAGAATTCATCTGTCTAGCATAATATGAAGAAATCCCGTTTCCAACGAAGGCCTCAAAGAGGTCTGAATATCCACTTGCAGACTTTACAAACAGAGTGTTTCCTAACTGCTCTTTGAAAAGAAAGGTTAAACTCTGTGAGTTGAAAGCACACATCACAAAACAGTTTCTGAGAATCATTCTGTCTAGTTTTTATACGAAGATATTTCCTTTTCTACCGTTGACCTCAAAGCGGCTGAATTCTCCACTTACAAATTCCACCAAAAGAGTGTCTCAAATCTGCTCTGTGTAAAGAATCATTCAACTCTGTGAGTTGAGTGCACACAACACAAGGAAGTTACTGGGAATTCCTCTGTCTAACCTTACATGAAAAAACCCGTTTCCAACGAAGGCCTCTAAGAGGCCAAGATATCCACTTGCAGACTTTACAAACAGAGTGTTTCCAAACTGCTGAATGAAAAGAAAAGTTAAACTCTGTGAGTTGAACGCACACATCACAGAGCAGTTTCTGAGAATGATTCTGTCGGGTTTTTACACGAAGATATTTCCTTTTCTGCCTTTGGCCTCAAAGCGCTTGAAGTCTCCACTTGCAAATTGCAGAAAAAGAGTGTTTCGAATCTGCTCTGTCTAAAGGAAGGTTCAACTCTGTCAGTTGAATACACACAACACAAGGAAGTTACTGAGATTTCTTCTGTCTAGCCTTACATGAAAAAAACCCGTTTCCAACGAAGGCCTCAAAGAGGTCAAAATATCCACGTGCAGACTTTCCAAACAGAGTGTTTCCAAACTGCTGAATGAAAAGAAAAGTTAAACTCTGTGAGTTGAACGCACACATCCCAGAGCAGTTTCTGAGAAAGATTCTGTCGAGTTTTTATAGGAAAATATTTCCTTTTCTGCTTTTGGCCTCAAAGCGCTTGAAATCTCCACTTGCAAATTCCACAAAAAGAGACTTTCAAATCTGCTCTGTCTAAAGGAAGGTTCAACTCTGTCAGTTGAATAAACACAACACAAAGAAGTTACTAAGAATTCTTCCCTCTAGCATTATATGAAGAAATCCCGTTTCCAACGAAGGCATCTAAGAGGTCCAAATATCCACTTGCAGACTTTACAAACAGAGGGTTTCCAGAATGCTGTATGAAAAGAAAGGTGAAACTCTGTGAGTTAAACACACACATCACTACGCAGTGTCTGGGAACGAGTTTGTCTTGTTTTTATACGAAGATATTTCCTTTTCTACCATTGGCATCGAAGCGCTTGAAATCTCCACTTGCAAATTCCACAAAAAGAGTGTTTCAAATCTGCTCTGTCTAAAGGAAGGTTGAACTCTGTGAGTTGCATACACACAACACAAAGAAGTTACTGAGAAATCTTCTGTCTAGCATAATATGAAGAAATCCCGTTTCCAACGAAGGCCTGAAAGAGGTCCGAATATCCACTGGCAGGCTTCACAAACAGAGTGTTTCCTAACTGCTCTGTGAAAAGAAAGGTTAAACTCTGTGAGTTGAACGCACACATCACAAAGGAGTTTCTGAGAATCATTCTGTCTAGTTTTTATACGAAGATATTTCCTTTTCTACCATTGACCTCAAAGCGGCTGAAATCTCCACTTGCAAATTCCAGAAAAACAGTGTTTCAAATCTGCTCTGTGTAAAGGATCGTTCAACTCTGTGAGTTGAATACACACAACACAAGGAAGTTACTGAGAATTCATCTGTCTAGCATAATATGAAGAAATCCCGTTTCCAACGAAGGCCTCAAAGAGGTCTGAATATCCACTTGCAGACTTTACAGAGTGTTTCCTAACTGCTCTCTGAAAAGAAAGGTTAAACTCTGTGAGTTGAACGCACACATCACAAAACAGTTTCTGAGAATCATTCTGTCTAGTTTTTATACGAAGATATTTCCTTTTCTACCGTTGACCTCAAAGCGGCTGAATTCTCCACTTACAAATTCCACCAAAAGAGTGTCTCAAATCTGCTCTGTGTAAAGAATCATTCAACTCTGTGAGTTGAATGCACACAACACAAGGAAGTTACTGGGAATTCCTGTGTCTATCCTTACATGAAAAAACCCGTTTCCAACGAAGGCCTCTAAGAGGCCAAGATATCCACTTGCAGACTTTACAAACAGAGTGTTTCCAAACTGCTGAATGAAAAGAAAAGTTAAACTGCTGTGAGTTGAACGCACACATCACAGAGCAGTTTCTGAGAATGATTATGTCAAGTTTTTATACGAAGATAATGCCTTTTCTGCCTTTGGCCTGAAAGCGCTTGAAGTCTCCTCTTGGAAATTCCAGATAAAGAGTGTTTCGAATCTGCTCTGTCTAAAGGAAGGTTCAACTGTGTCAGTTGAATACACATAACACAAAGAAGTTACTAAGAATTCTTCCCTCTAGAATTATATTAAGAAATTCCGTTTCCAAAGAAGGCATCTAAGAGCTCCAAATATCCACTTGTAGACTTTCCAAACAGAGAGTTTCCAGAATGCTGTATGAAAAGAAAGGTTAATCTCTGTGAGTTAAACACATACATCACTACGCAGTTTCTGGGAATGATTTTGTCTTGTTTTTATACGAAGATATTTCCTTTTCTACCATTGGCATCGAAGCGCTTGAAATCTCCACTTGCAAATTCCACAAAAAGAGTGTTTCAAATCTGCTCTGTCTAAAGGAAGGTTGAACTCTGTGAGTTGCATACACACAACACAAAGAAGTTACTGAGAAATCTTCTGTCTAGCATAATATGAAGAAATCCCGTTTCCAATGAAGGCCTCAAAGAGGTCCGAATATCCACTGGCAGGCTTCACAAACAGAGTGTTTCCTAACTGCTCTGTGAAAAGAAAGGTTAAACTCTGTGAGTTGAACGCACACATCACAAAGGAGTTTCTGAGAATCATTCTGTCTAGTTTTTATACGAAGATATTTCCTTTTCTACCATTGACCTCAAAGCGGCTGAAATCTCCACTTGCAAATTCCAGAAAAACAGTGTTTCAAATCTGCTCTGTGTAAAGGATCGTTCAACTCTGTGAGTTGAATACACACAACACAAGGAAGTTACTGAGAATTCATCTGTCTAGCATAATATGAAGAAATCCCGTTTCCAACGAAGGCCTCAAAGAGGTCTGAATATCCACTTGCAGACTTTACAAACAGAGTGTTTCCTAACTGCTCTTTGAAAAGAAAGGTTAAACTCTGTGAGTTGAACGCACACATCACAAAACAGTTTCTGAGAATCATTCTGTCTAGGTTTTATACGAAGATATTTCCTTTTCTACCATTGACCTCAAAGCGGCTGAATTCTCCATCTACAAATTCCACCAAAAGAGTGTCTCAAATCTGCTCTGTGTAAAGAATCATTCAACTCTGTGAGTTGAATGCACACAACACAAGGAAGTTACTGGGAATTCCTCTGTCTAACCTTACATGAAAAAAACCCGTTTCCAACGAAGGCCTCTAAGTAGGCCAATATATCCACTTGCAGACTTTACAAACAGAGTGTTTCCAAACTGCTAAATGAAAAGAAAAGTTAAACTCTGTGAGTTGAACGCACACATCACAGAGCAGTTTCTGAGAATGATTCTGTCGGGTTTTTATACGAAGATATTTCCTTTTCTGCCTTTGGCCTCAAAGCGCTTGAAGTCTCCACTTGCAAATTGCAGAAAAAGAGTGTTTCGAATCTGCTCTGTCTAAAGGAAGGTTCAACTCTGTCAGTTGAATACACACAACACAAGGAAGTTACTGAGATTTCTTCTGTCTAGCCTTACATGAAAAAAACCCGTTTCCAACGAAGGCCTCAAAGAGGTCAAAATATCCACGTGCAGACTTTCCAAACAGAGTGTTTCCAAACTGCTGAATGAAAAGAAAAGTTAAACTCTGTGAGTTGAACGCACACATCCCAGAGCAGTTTCTGAGAAAGATTCTGTCTAGTTTTTATAGGAAAATATTTCCTTTTCTGCCTTTGGCCTCAAAGCGCTTGAAATCTCCACTTGCAAATTCCACAAAAAGAGACTTTCAAATCTGCTCTGTTTAAAGGAAGGTTCAACTCTGTCAGTTGAATACACACAACACAAAGAAGTTACTAAGAATTCTTCCCTCTAGCATTATATGAGGAAATCCCGTTTCCAACGAAGGCATCTAAGAGGTCCAAATATCCACTTGCAGACTTTACAAACAGAGGGTTTCCAGAATGCTGTATGAAAAGAAAGGTTAAACTCTGTGAGTTAAACACACACATCACTACGCAGTGTCTGGGAACGAGTTTGTCTTGTTTTTATACGAAGATATTTCCTTTTCTACCATTGGCATCGATGCGCTTGAAATTTCCACTTGCAAATTCCACAAAAAGAGTGTTTCAAATCTGCTCTGTCTAAAGGAAGGTTGAACTCTGTGAGTTGCATACACACAACACAAAGAAGTTACTGAGAAATCTTCTGTCTAGCATAATATGAAGAAATCCCGTTTCCAACGAAGGCCTCAAAGAGGTCCGAATATCCACTGGCAGGCTTCACAAACAGAGTGTTTCCTAACTGCTCTGTGAAAAGAAAGGTTAAACTCTGTGAGTTAAACACACACATCACTACGCAGTGTCTGGGAACGAGTTTGTCTTGTTTTTATACGAAGATATTTCCTTTTCTACCATTGGCATCGAAGCGCTTGAAATCTCCACTTGCAAATTCCACAAAAAGAGTGTTTCAAATCTGCTCTGTCTAAAGGAAGGTTGAACTCTGTGAGTTGCATACACACAACACAAAGAAGTTACTGAGAAATCTTCTGTCTAGCATAATATGAAGAAATCCCGTTTCCAACGAAGGCCTCAAAGAGGTCCGAATATCCACTGGCAGGCTTCACAAACAGAGTGTTTCCTAACTACTCTGTGAAAAGAAAGGTTAAACTCTGTGAGTTGAACGCACACATCACAAAGGAGTTTCTGAGAATCATTCTGTCTAGTTTTTATACGAAGATATTTCCTTTTCTACCATTGACCTCAAAGCGGCTGAAATCTCCACTTGCAAATTCCAGAAAAACAGTGTTTCAAATCTGCTCTGTGTAAAGGATCATTCAACTCTGTGAGTTGAATACACACAACACAAGGAAGTTACTGAGAATTCATCTGTCTAGCATAATATGAAGAAATCCCGTTTCCAACGAAGGCCTCAAAGAGGTCTGAATATCCACTTGCAGACTTTACAAACAGAGTGTTTCCTAACTGCTCTTTGAAAAGAAAGGTTAAACTCTGTGAGTTGAACGCACACATCACAAAACAGTTTCTGAGAATCATTCTGTCTAGTTTTTATACGAAGATATTTCCTTTTCTACCGCTGACCTCAAAGCGGCTGAATTCTCCACTAACAAATTCCACCAAAAGAGTGTCTCAAATCTGCTCTGTGTAAAGAATCATTCAACTCTGTGAGTTGAATGCACACAACACAAGGAAGTTACTGGGAATTCCTCTGTCTAACCTTACATGAAAAAACCCGTTTCCAACGAAGGCCTCTAAGAGGCCAAGATATCCACTTGCAGACTTTACAAACAGAGTGTTTCCAAACTGCTGAATGAAAAGAAAAGTTAAACTCTGTGAGTTGAACGCACACATCACAGAGCAGTTTCTGAGAATGATTCTGTCGGGTTTTTATACGAAGATATTTCCTTTTCTGCCTTTGGCCTCAAAGCGCTTGAAGTCTCCACTTGCAAATTGCAGAAAAAGAGTGTTTCGAATCTGCTCTGTCTAAAAGAAGGTTCAACTCTGTCAGTTGAATACACACAACACAAGGAAGTTACTGAGATTTCTTCTGTCTAGCCTTACATGAAAAAAACCCGTTTCCAACGAAGGCCTCAAAGAGGTCAAAATATCCACGTGCAGACTTTCCAAACAGAGTGTTTCCAAACTGCTGAATGAAAAGAAAAGTTAAACTCTGTGAGTTGAACGCACACATCCCAGAGCAGTTTCTGAGAAAGATTCTGTCTAGTTTTTATAGGAAAATATTTCCTTTTCTGCTTTTGGCCTCAAAGCGCTTGAAATCTCCACTTGCAAATTCCACAAAAAGAGACTTTCAAATCTGCTCTGTCTAAAGGAAGGTTCAACTCTGTCAGTTGAATACACACAACACAAAGAAGTTACTAAGAATTCTTCCCTCTAGCATTATATGAAGAAATCCCGTTTCCAACGAAGGCATCTAAGAGGTCCAAATATCCACTTGCAGACTTTACAAACAGAGGGTTTCCAGAATGCTGTATGAAAAGAAAGGTGAAACTCTCTGAGTTAAACACACACAACACTACGCAGTGTCTGGGAACGAGTTTGTCTTGTTTTTCTATGAAGATATTTCCTTTTCTACCATTGGCATCGAAGCGCTTGAAATCTCCACTTGCAAATTCCACAAAAAGAGTGTTTCAAATCTGCTCTGTCTAAAGGAAGGTTGAACTCTGTGAGTTGCATACACACAACACAAAGAAGTTACTGAGAAATCTTCTGTCTAGCATAATATGAAGAAATCCCGTTTCCAACGAAGGCCTCCAAGAGGTCCGAATATCCACTGGCAGGCTTCACAAACAGAGTGTTTCCTAACTGCTCTGTGAAAAGAAAGGTTAAACTCTGTGAGTTGAACGCACACATCACAAAGGAGTTTCTGAGAATCATTCTGTCTAGTTTTTATACGAAGATATTTCCTTTTCTACCATTGACCTCAAAGCGGCTGAAATCTCCACTTGCAAATTCCAGAAAAACAGTGTTTCAAATCTGCTCTGTGTAAAGGATCGTTCAACTCTGTGAGTTGAATACACACAACACAAGGAAGTTACTGAGAATTCATCTGTCTAGCATAATATGAAGAAATCCCGTTTCCAACGAAGGCCTCAAAGAGGTCTGAATATCCGCTTGCAGACTTTACAAACAGAGTGTTTCCTAACTGCTCTTTGAAAAGAAAGGTTAAACTCTGTGAGTTGAACGCACACATCACAAAACAGTTTCTGAGAATCATTCTGTCTAGTTTTTATACGAAGATATTTCCTTTTCTACCGTTGACCTCAAAGCGGCTGAATTCTCCACTAACAAATTCCACCAAAAGAGTGTCTCAAATCTGCTCTGTGTAAAGCATCATTCAACTCTGTGAGTTGAATGCACACAACACAAGGGAAGTTACTGGGAATTCCTCTGTCTAACCTTACATGAAAAAACCCGTTTCCAACGAAGGCCTCTAAGAGGCCAAGATATCCACTTGCAGACTTTACAAACAGAGTGTTTCCAAACTGCTGAATGAAAAGAAAAGTTAAACTCTGTGAGTTGAACGCACATATCACAGAGCAGTTTCTGAGAATGATTCTGTCGGGTTTTTATACGAAGATATTTCCTTTTCTGCCTTTGGCCTCAAAGCGCTTGAAGTCTCCACTTGCAAATTGCAGAAAAAGAGTGTTTCGAATCTGCTCTGTCTAAAGGAAGGTTCAACTCTGTCAGTTGAATACACACAACACAAGGAAGTTACTGAGATTTCTTCTGTCTAGCCTTACATGAAAAAAACCCGTTTCCAACGAAGGCCTCAAAGAGGTCAAAATATCCACGTGCAGACTTTCCAAACAGAGTGTTTCCAAACTGCTGAATGAAAAGAAAGTTAAACTCTGTGAGTTGAACACACACATCACAGAGCAGTTTCTGAGAATGATTCTGTCTAGTTTTTATAGGAAAATATTTCCTTTTCTGCTTTTGGCCTCAAAGCGCTTGAAATCTCCACTTGCAAATTCCACAAAAAGAGACTTTCAAATCTGCTCTGTCTAAAGGAAGGTTCAACTCTGTCAGTTGAATACACACAACACAAAGAAGTTACTAAGAATTCTTCCCTCTAGCATTATATGAAGAAATCCCGTTTCCAAAGAAGGCATCTAAGAGGTCCAAATATCGACTTGCAGACTTTACAAACAGAGGGTTTCCAGAATGCTGTATGAAAAGAAAGGTTAAACTCTGTGAGTTAAACACACAACCCATTTCACTACGCAGTGTCTGGGAACGAGTTTGTCTTGTTTTTATACGAAGATATTTCCTTTTCTACCATTGGCATCGAAGCGCTTGAAATCTCCACTTGCAAATTCCACAAAAAGAGTGTTTCAAATCTGCTCTGTCTAAAGGAAGGTTGAACTCTGTGAGTTGCATACACACAACCCAAAGAAGTTACTGATAAATCTTCTGTCTAGCATAATATGAAGAAATCCCGTTTCCAACGAAGGCCTCAAAGAGGTCCGAATATCCACTGGCAGGCTTCACAGAGTGTTTCCTAACTGCTCTGTGAAAAGAAAGGTTAAACTCTGTGAGTTGAACGCACACATCACAAAGGAGTTTCTGAGAATCATTCTGTCCAGTTTTTATACGAAGATATTTCCTTTTCTACCATTGACCTCAAAGCGGCTGAAATCTCCACTTGCAAATTCCAGAAAAACAGTGTTTCAAATCTGCTCTGTATAAAGGATCGTTCAACTCTGTGAGTTGAATACACACAACACAAGGAAGTTACTGAGAATTCATCTGTCTAGCATAATATGAAGAAATCCCGTTTCCAACGAAGTCCTCAAAGAGGTCTGAATATCCACTTGCAGACTTTACAAACAGAGTGTTTCCTAACTGCTCTTTGAAAAGAAAGGTTAAACTCTGTGAGTTGAAAGCACACATCACAAAACAGTTTCTGAGAATCATTCTGTCTAGTTTTTATACGAAGATATTTCCTTTTCTACCGTTGACCTCAAAGCAGCTGAATTCTCCACTTACAAATTCCACCAAAAGAGTGTCTCAAATCTACTCTGTGTAAAGAATCATTCAACTCTGTGAGTTGAATGCACACAACACAAGGAAGTTACTGGGAATTCCTCTGTCTAACCTTACATGAAAAAACCCGTTTCCAACGAAGGCCTCTAAGAGGCCAAGATATCCACTTGCAGACTTTACAAACAAAGTGTTTCCAAACTGCTGAATGAAAAGAAAAGTTAAACTCTGTGAGTTGAACGCACACATCACAGAGCAGTTTCTGAGAAAGATTCTGTCGAGTTTTTATAGGAAAATATTTCCTTTTCTGCTTTTGGCCTCAAAGCGCTTGAAATCTCCACTTGCAAATTCCACAAAAAGAGACTTTCAAATCTGCTCTGTCTAAAGGAAGGTTCAACTCTGTCAGTTGAATACACACAACACAAAGAAGTTACTAAGAATTCTTCCCTCTAGCATTATATGAAGAAATCCCGTTTCCAACGAAGGCATCTAAGAGATCCAAATATCCACTTGCAGACTTTACAAACAGAGGGTTTCCAGAATGCTGTATGAAAAGAAAGGTGAAACTCTGTGAGTTAAACACACACATCACTACGCAGTGTCTGGGAACGAGTTTGTCTTGTTTTTATACGAAGATATTTCCTTTTCTACCATTGGCATCGAAGCGCTTGAAATCTCCACTTGCAAATTCCACAAAAAGAGTGTTTCAAATCTGCTCTGTCTAAAGGAAGGTTGAACTCTGTGAGTTGCATATACACAACACAAAGAAGTTACTGAGAAATCTTTTGTCTAGCATAATATGAAGAAATCCCGTTTCCAACGAAGGCCTCAAAGAGGTCCGAATATCCACTGGCAGGCTTCACAAACAGAGTGTTTCCTAACTGCTCTGTGAAAAGAAAGGTTAAACTCTGTGAGTTGAACGCAAACATCACAAAGGAGTTTCTGAGAATCATTCTGTCTAGTTTTTATACGAAGATATTTCCTTTTCTACCATTGACCTCAAAGCGGCTGAAATCTCCACTTGCAAATTCCAGAAAAACAGTGTTTCAAATCTGCTCTGTGTAAAGGATCGTTCAACTCTGTGAGTTGAATACACACAACACAAGGAAGTTACTGAGAATTCATCTGTCTAGCATAATATGAAGAAATCCCGTTTCCAACGAAGGCTTCAAAGAGGTCTGAATATCCACTTGCAGACTTTACAAACAGAGTGTTTCCTAACTGCTCTTTGAAAAGAAAGGTTAAACTCTGTGAGTTGAACGCACACATCACAAAACAGTTTCTGAGAATCATTCTTTCTAGTTTTTATACGAAGATATTTCCTTTTCTACCGTTGACCTCAAAGCGGCTGAATTCTCCACTTACAAATTCCACCAAAAGAGTGTCTCAAATCTGCTCTGTGTAAAGAATCATTCAACTCTGTGAGTTGAATGCACACAACACAAGGAAGTTACTGGGAATTCCTCTGTCTATCCTTACATGAAAAAACCCGTTTCCAACGAAGGCCTCTAAGAGGCCAAGATATCCACTTGCAGACTTTACAAACAGAGTGTTTCCAAACTGCTGAATGAAAAGAAAAGTTAAACTCTGTGAGTTGAACGCACACATCACAGAGCAGTTTCTGAGAATGATTCTGTCGGGTTTTTATACGAAGATATTTCCTTTTCTGCCTTTGGCCTCAAAGCGCTTGAAGTCTCCACTTGCAAATTGCAGAAAAAGAGTGTTTCGAATCTGCTCTGTCTAAAGGAAGGTTCAACTCTGTCAGTTGAATACACACAACACAAAGAAGTTACTAAGAATTCTTCCCTCTAGCATTATATGAAGAAATCCCGTTTCCAACGAAGGCATCTAAGAGGTCCAAATATCCACTTGCAGACTTTACAAACAGAGGGTTTCCAGAATGCTGTATGAAAAGAAAGGTTAAACTCTGTGAGTTGAACGCACACATCACAAAGGAGTTTCTGAGAATCATTCTGTCTAGTTTTTATACGAAGATATTTCCTTTTCTACCATTGACCTCAAAGCGGCTGAAATCTCCACTTGCAAATTCCAGAAAAACAGTGTTTCAAATCTGCTCTGTGTAAAGGATCGTTCAACTCTGTGAGTTGAATACACACAACACAAGGAAGTTACTGAGAATTCATCTGTCTAGCATAATATGAAGAAATCCCGTTTCCAACGAAGGCCTCAAAGAGGTCTGAATATCCACTTGCAGACTTTACAAACAGAGTGTTTCCTAACTGCTCTTTGAAAAGAAAGGTTAAACTCTGTGAGTTGAAAGCACACATCACAAAACAGTTTCTGAGAATCATTCTGTCTAGTTTTTATACGAAGATATTTCCTTTTCTACCGTTGACATCAAAGCGGCTGAATTCTCCACTTACAAATTCCACCAAAAGAGTGTCTCAAATCTGCTCTGTGTAAAGAATCATTCAACTCTGTGAGTTGAATGCACACAACACAAGGAAGTTAGTGGGAATTCCTCTGTCTAACCTTACATGAAAAAACCCGCTACCAACGAAGGCCTCTAAGAGGCCAAGATATCCACTTGCAGACTTTACAAACAGAGTGTTTCCAAACTGCTGAATGAAAAGAAAAGTTAAACTCTGTGAGTTGAACGCACACATCACAGAGCAGTTTCTGAGAATGATTCTGTCGGGTTTTTATACGAAGATATTTCCTTTTCTGCCTTTGGCCTCAAAGCGCTTGAAGTCTCCACTTGCAAATTGCAGAAAAAGAGTGTTTCGAATCTGCTCTGTCTAAAGGAAGGTTCAACTCTGTCAGTTGAATACACACAACACAAGGAAGTTACTGAGATTTCTTCTGTCTAGCCTTACATGAAAAAAACCCGTTTCCAACGAAGGCCTCAAAGAGGTCAAAATATCCACGTGCAGACTTTCCAAACAGAGTGTTTCCAAACTGCTGAATGAAAAGAAAAGTTAAACTCTGTGAGTTGAACGCACACATCCCAGAGCAGTTTCTGAGAAAGATTCTGTCTAGTTTTTATAGGAAAATATTTCCTTTTCTGCTTTTGGCCTCAAAGCGCTTGAAATCTCCACTTGCAAATTCCACAAAAAGAGACTTTCAAATCTGCTCTGTCTAAAGGAAGGTTCAACTCTGTCAGTTGAATACACACAACACAAAGAAGTTACTAAGAATTCTTCCCTCTAGCATTATATGAAGAAATCCCGTTTGCAACGAAGGCATCTAAGAGGTCCAAATATCCACTTGCAGACTTTACAAACAGAGGGTTTCCAGAATGCTGTATGAAAAGAAAGGTGAAACTCTGTGAGTTAAACACACACATCACTACGCAGTGTCTGGGAACGAGTTTGTCTTGTTTTTATACGAAGATATTTCCTTTTCTACCATTGGCATCGAAGCGCTTGAAATCTCCACTTGCAAATTCCACAAAAAGAGTGTTTCAAATCTGCTCTGTCTAAAGGAAGGTTGAACTCTGTGAGTTGCATACACACAACACAAAGAAGTTACTGAGAAATCTTCTGTCTAGCATAATATGAAGAAATCCCGTTTCCAACGAAGGCCTCAAAGAGGTCCGAATATCCACTGGCAGGCTTCACAAACAGAGTGTTTCCTAACTGCTCTGTGAAAAGAAAGGTTAAACTCTGTGAGTTGAACGCACACATCACAAAGGAGTTTCTGAGAATCATTCTGTCTAGTTTTTATACGAAGATATTTCCTTTTCTACCATTGACCTCAAAGCGGCTGAAATCTCCACTTGCAAATTCCAGAAAAACAGTGTTTCAAATCTGCTCTGTGTAAAGGATCGTTCAACTGCTGTGAGTTGAATACACACAACACAAGGAAGTTACTGAGAATTCATTCTGTCTAGCATAATATGAAGAAATCCCGTTTCCAACGAAGGCCTCAAAGAGGTCTGAATATCCACTTGCAGACTTTACAAACAGAGTGTTTCCTAACTGCTGAATGAAAAGAAATGTTAAACTCTGTGAGTTGAACGCACACATCACAGAGCAGTTTCTGAGAATGATTCTGTCTAGTTTTTATAGGAAAATATTTCCTTTTCTGCTTTTGGCCTCAAAGCGCTTGAAATCTCCACTTGCAAATTCCACAAAAAGAGACTTTCAAATCTGCTGTGTCTAACGGAAGGTTCAACTCTGTCAGTTGAATACACACAACACAAAGAAGTTACTAAGAATTCTTCCCTCTAGCATTATGGGAAGAAATCCCGTTTCCAACGAAGGCATCTAAGAGGTCCAAATATCCACTTGCAGACTTTACAAACAGAGGGTTTCCAGAATGGTGTATGAATAGAAAGGTAAAACTCTGTGAGTTAAACACACACAGCACTACGCAGTTTCTGGGAATGATTTTGTCTTGTTTTTATACGAAGATATTTCCTTTTCGACCATTGGCGTCGAAGCGCTTGAAATCTCCACTTGCAAATTCCACAAAAAGAGTGTTTCAAATCTGCTCTGTCTAAAGGAAGGTTGAACTCTGTGAGTTGCATACACACAACACAAAGTAGTTACTGAGAAATCTGTCTAGCATAATATGAAGAAATCCCGTTTCCAACGAAGGCCTCAAAGAGGTACTAATATCCACTGGCAGACTTCACAGAGTGTTTCCTAACTGGTCTGTGAAAAGAAAGGTTAAACTCTGTGAGTTGAACGCACACATCACAAAGGAGTTTCTGAGAATCATTCTGTCTAGTTTTTATACGAAGATATTTCCTTTTCTACCATTGACCTCAAAGCGGCTGAAATCTCCACTTGCAAATTCCAGAAAAAGAGTGTTTCAAATCTGCTCTGTGTAAAGGATCGTTCAACTCTGTGAGTTGAATACACACAACACAAGGAAGTTACTGAGAATTCTTCTGTCTAGCATAATATGAAGAAATCCCGTTTCCAACGAAGGCCTCAAAGAGGTCTGAATATCCACTTGCAGACTTTACAAACAGAGTGTTTCCTAACTGCTCTTTGAAAAGAAAGGTTAAACTCTGTGAGTTGAACGCACACATCACAAAACAGTTTCTGAGAATCATTCTGTCTAGTTTTTATACGAAGATATTTCCTTTTCTACCGTTGACCTCAAAGCAGCTGAATTCTCCACTTACAAATTCCACCAAAAGAGTGTCTCAAATCTGCTCTGTGTAAAGAATCATTCAACTCTGTGAGTTGAATGCACACAACACAAGGGAAGTTACTGGGAATTCCTCTGTCTAACCTTACATGAAAAAACCCGTTTCCAACGAAGGCCTCTAAGAGGCCAAGATATCCACTTGCAGACTTTACAAACAGAGTGTTTCCAAACTACTGAATGAAAAGAAAAGTTGAACTCTGTGAGTTGAACGCACACATCACAGAGCAGTTTCTGAGAAAGATTCTGTCTAGTTTTTATAGGAAAATATTTCCTTTTCTGCTTTTGGCCTCAAAGCGCTTGAAATCTCCACTTGCAAATTCCACAAAAAGAGTGTTTCAAATCTGCTCTGTCTAAAGGAAGGTTGAACTCTGTGAGTTGCATACACACAACACAAAGAAGTTACTGAGAAATCTTCTGTCTAGCATAATATGAAGAAATCCCGTTTCCAACGAAGGCCTCAAAGAGGTCCGAATATCCACTGGCAGGCTTCACAAACAGAGTGTTTCCTAACTGCTCTGTGAAAAGAAAGGTTAAACTCTGTGAGTTGAACGCACACATCACAAAGGAGTTTCTGAGAATCATTCTGTCTAGTTTTTATACGAAGATATTTCTTTTTCTACCATTGACCTCAAAGCGGCTGAAATCTCCACTTGCAAATTCCAGAAAAACAGTGTTTCAAATCTGCTCTGTGTAAAGGATCGTTCAACTCTGTGAGTTGAATACACACAACACAAGGAAGTTACTGAGAATTCATCTGTCTAGCATAATATGAAGAAATCCCGTTTCCAACGAAGGCCTCAAAGAGGTCTGAATATCCACTTGCAGACTTTACAAACAGAGTGTTTCCTAACTGCTCTTTGAAAAGAAAGGTTAAACTCTGTGAGTTGAACGCACACATCACAAAACAGTTTCTGAGAATCATTCTGTCTAGTTTTTATACGAAGATATTTCCTTTTCTACCGTTGACCTCAAAGCGGCTGAATTCTCCACTTACAAATTCCACCAAAAGAGTGTCTCAAATCTGCTCTGTGTAAAGAATCATTCAACTCTGTGAGTTGAATGCACACAACACAAGGAAGTTACTGGGAATTCCTCTGTCTAACCTTACATGAAAAAACCCGTTTCCAACGAAGGCCTCTAAGAGGCCAAGATATCCACTTGCAGACTTTACAAACAGAGTGTTTCCAAACTGCTGAATGAAAAGAAAAGTTAAACTCTGTGAGTTGAACGCACACATCACAGAGCAGTTTCTGAGAATGATTCTGTCGGGTTTTTATACGAAGATATTTCCTTTTCTGCCTTTGGCCTCAAAGCGCTTGAAGTCTCCACTTGCAAATTGCAGAAAAAGAGTGTTTCGAATCTGCTCTGTCTAAAGGAAGGTTCAACTCTGTCAGTTGAATACACACAACACAAGGAAGTTACTGAGATTTCTTCTGTCTAGCCTTACATGAAAAAAACCCGTTTCCAACGAAGGCCTCAAAGAGGTCAAAATATCCACGTGCAGACTTTCCAAACAGAGTGTTTCCAAACTGCTGAATGAAAAGAAAAGTTAAACTCTGTGAGTTGAACGCACACATCCCAGAGCAGTTTCTGAGAAAGATTCTGTCGAGTTTTTATAGGAAAATATTTCCTTTTCTGCTTTTGGCCTCAAAGCGCTTGAAATCTCCACTTGCAAATTCCACAAAAAGAGACTTTCAAATCTGCTCTGTCTAAAGGAAGGTTCAACTCTGTCAGTTGAATACACACAACACAAAGAAGTTACTAAGAATTCTTCCCTCTAGCATTATATGAAGAAATCCCGTTTCCAACGAAGGCATCTAAGAGGTCCAAATATCCACTTGCAGACTTTACAAACACAGGGTTTCCAGAATGCTGTATGAAAAGAAAGGTTAAACTCTGTGAGTTAAACACACATATCACTACGCAGTGTCTGGGAACGAGTTTGTCTTGTTTTTATACGAAGATATTTCCTTTTCTACCATTGGCATCGAAGCGCTTGAAATCTCCACTTGCAAATTCCACAAAAAGAGTGTTTCAAATCTGCTCTGTCTAAAGGAAGGTTGAACTCTGTGAGTTGCATACACACAACACAAAGAAGTTACTGAGAAATCTTCTGTCTAGCATAATATGAAGAAATCCCGTTTCCAACGAAGGCCTCAAAGAGGTCCGAATATCCACTGGCAGGCTTCACAAACAGAGTGTTTCCTAACTGCTCTGTGAAAAGAAAGGTTAAACCCTGTGAGTTGAACGCACACATCACAAAGGAGTTTCTGAGAATCATTCTGTCTAGTTTTTATACGAAGATATTTCCTTTTCTACCGTTGACCTCAAAGCGGCTGAAATCTCCACTTGCAAATTCCAGAAAAACAGTGTTTCAAATCTGCTCTGTGTAAAGGATCGTTCAACTCTGTGAGTTGAATACACACAACACAAGGAAGTTACTGAGAATTCATCTGTCTAGCATAATATGAAGAAATCCCGTTTCCAACGAAGGCCTCAAAGAGGTCTGAATATCCACTTGCAGACTTTACAAACAGAGTGTTTCCTAACTGCTCTTTGAAAAGAAAGGTTAAACTCTGTGAGTTGAACGCACACATCACAAAACAGTTTCTGAGAATCATTCTGTCTAGTTTTTATACGAAGATATTTCCTTTTCTACCGTTGACCTCAAAGCGGCTGAATTCTCCACTTACAAATTCCACCAAAAGAGTGTCTCAAATCTGCTCTGTGTAAAGAATCATTCAACTCTGTGAGTTGAATGCACACAACACAAGGAAGTTACTGGGAATTCCTCTGTCTAACCTTACATGAAAAAACCCGTTTCCAACGAAGGCCTCTAAGAGGCCAAGATATCCACTTGCAGACTTTACAAACAGAGTGTTTCCAAACTGCTGAATGAAAAGAAAAGTTAAACTCTGTGAGTTGAACGCACACATCACAGAGCAGTTTCTGAGAATGATTCTGTCGGGTTTTTATACGAAGATATATCCTTTTCTGCCTTTGACCTCAAAGCGCTTGAAGTCTCCACTTGCAAATTGCAGAAAAAGAGTGTTTCGAATCTGCTCTGTCTAAAGGAAGGTTCAACTCTGTCAGTTGAATACACACAACACAAGGAAGTTACTGAGATTTCTTCTGTCTAGCCTTACATGAAAAAAACCCGTTTCCAACGAAGGCCTCAAAGAGGTCAAAATATCCACGTGCAGACTTTCCAAACAGAGTGTTTCCAAACTGCTGAATGAAAAGAAAAGTTAAACTCTGTGAGTTGAACGCACACATCCCAGAGCAGTTTCTGAGAAAGATTCTGTCTAGTTTTTATAGGAAAATATTTCCTCTTCTGCTTTTGGCCTCAAAGCGCTTGAAATCTCCACTTGCAAATTCCACAAAAAGAGTGTTTCAAATCTGCTCTGTCTAAAGGAAGGTTGAACTCTGTGAGTTGCATACACACAACACAAAGAAGTTACTGAGAAATCTTCTGTCTAGCATAATATGAAGAAATCCCGTTTCCAACGAAGGCCTCAAAGAGGTCCGAATATCCACTGGCAGGCTTCACAAACAGAGTGTTTCCTAACTGCTCTGTGAAAAGAAAGGTTAAACTCTGTGAGTTGAACGCACACATCACAAAGGAGTTTCTGAGAATCATTCTGTCTAGTTTTTATACGAAGATATTTCCTTTTCTACCATTGACCTCAAAGCGGCTGAAATCTCCACTTGCAAATTCCAGAAAAACAGTGTTTCAAATCTGCTCTGTGTAAAGGATCGTTCAACTCTGTGAGTTGAATACACACAACACAAGGAAGTTACTGAGAATTCATCTGTCTAGCATAATATGAAGAAATCCCGTTTCCAACGAAGGCCTCAAAGAGGTCTGAATATCCACTTGCAGACTTTACAAACAGAGTGTTTCCTAACTGCTCTTTGAAAAGAAAGGTTAAACTCTGTGAGTTGAACGCACACATCACAAAACAGTTTCTGAGAATCATTCTGTCTAGTTTTTATACGAAGATATTTCCTTTTCTACCGTTGACCTCAAAGCGGCTGAATTCTCCACTTACAAATTCCACCAAAAGAGTGTCTCAAAACTGCTCTGTGTAAAGAATCATTCAACTCTGTGAGTTGAATGCACACAACACAAGGAAGTTACTGGGAATTCCTCTGTCTAACCTTACATGAAAAAACCCGTTTCCAACGAAGGCCTCTAAGAGGCCAAGATATCCACTTGCAGACTTTACAAACAGAGTGTTTCCAAACTGCTGAATGAAAAGAAAAGTTAAACTCTGTGAGTTGAACGCACACATCACAGAGCAGTTTCTGAGAATGATTCTGTCGGGTTTTTATACGAAGATATTTCCTTTTCTGCCTTTGGCCTCAAAGCGCTTGAAGTCTCCACTTGCAAATTGCAGAAAAAGAGTGTTTCGAATCTGCTCTGTCTAAAGGAAGGTTCAACTCTGTCAGTTGAATACACACAACACAAGGAAGTTACTGAGATTTCTTCTGTCTAGCCTTACATGAAAAAAACCCGTTTCCAACGAAGGCCTCAAAGAGGTCAAAATATCCACGTGCAGACTTTCCAAACAGAGTGTTTCCAAACTGCTGAATGAAAAGAAAAGTTAAACTCTGTGAGTTGAACGCACACATCCCAGAGCAGTTTCTGAGAAAGATTCTGTCGAGGTTTTATAGGAAAATATTTCCTTTTCTGCTTTTGGCCTCAAAGCGCTTGAAATCTCCACTTGCAAATTCCACAAAAAGAGACTTTCAAATCTGCTCTGTCTAAAGGAAGGTTCAACTCTGTCAGTTGAATACACACAACACAAAGAAGTTACTAAGAATTCTTCCCTCTAGCATTATATGAAGAAATCCCGTTTCCAACGAAGGCATCTAAGAGGTCTAAATATCGACTTGCAGACTTTACAAACAGAGGGTTTCCAGAATGCTGTATGAAAAGAAAGGTTAAACTCTGTGAGTGAAACACACACATCACTACGCAGTGTCTGGGAACGAGTTTGTCTTGTTTTTATACGAAGATATTTCCTTTTCTACCATTGGCATCGAAGCGCTTGAAATCTCCACTTGCAAATTCCACAAAAAGAGTGTTTCAAATCTGCTCTGTCTAAAGGAAGGTTGAACTCTGTGAGTTGCATACACACAACACAAAGAAGTTACTGAGAAATCTTCTGAATAGCATAATATGAAGAAATCCCGTTTCCAACGAAGGCCTCAAAGAGGTCCGAATATCCACTGGCAGGCTTCACAAACAGAGTGTTTCCTAACTGCTCTGTGAAAAGAAAGGTTAAACCCTGTGAGTTGAACGCACACATCACAAAGGAGTTTCTGAGAATCATTCTGTCTAGTTTTTATACGAAGATATTTCCTTTTCTACCATTGACCTCAAAGCGGCTGAAATCTCCACTTGCAAATTCCAGAAAAACAGTGTTTCAAATCTGCTCTGTGTAAAGGATCGTTCAACTCTGTGAGTTGAATACACACAACACAAGGAAGTTACTGAGAATTCATCTGTCTAGCATAATATGAAGAAATCCCGTTTCCAACGAAGGCCTCAAAGAGGTCTGAATATCCACTTGCAGACTTTACAAACAGAGTGTTTCCTAACTGCTCTTTGAAAAGAAAGGTTAAACTCTGTGAGTTGAAAGCACACATCACAAAACAGTTTCTGAGAATCATTCTGTCTAGTTTTTATACGAAGATATTTCCTTTTCTACCGTTGACCTCAAAGCAGCTGAATTCTCCACTTACAAATTCCACCAAAAGAGTGTCTCAAATCTGCTCTGTGTAAAGAATCATTCAACTCTGTGAGTTGAATGCACACAACACAAGGAAGTTACTGGGAATTCCTCTGTCTAACCTTACATGAAAAAACCCGTTTCCAACGAAGGCCTCTAAGAGGCCAAGATATCCACTTGCAGACTTTACAAACAGAGTGTTTCCAAACTGCTGAATGAAAAGAAAAGTTAAACTCTGTGAGTTGAACGCACACATCACAGAGCAGTTTCTGAGAATGATTCTGTCGGGTTTTTATACGAAGATATTTCCTTTTCTGCCTTTGGCCTCAAAGCGCTTGAAGTCTCCACTTGCAAATTGCAGAAAAAGAGTGTTTCGAATCTGCTCTGTCTAAAGGAAGGTTCAACTCTGTCAGTTGAATACACACAACACAAGGAAGTTACTGAGATTTCTTCTGTCTAGCCTTACAAGAAAAAAACCCGTTTCCAACGAAGGCCTCAAAGAGGTCAAAATATCCACGTGCAGACTTTCCAAACAGAGTGTTTCCAAACTGCTGAATGGAAAGAAAAGTTAAACTCTGTGAGTTGAACGCACACATCCCAGAGCAGTTTCTGAGAAAGATTCTGTCGAGTTTTTATAGGAAAATATTTCCTTTTCTGCTTTTGGCCTCAAAGCGCTTGAAATCTCCACTTGCAAATTCCACAAAAAGAGACTTTCAAATCTGCTCTGTCTAAAGGAAGGTTCAACTCTGTCAGTTGAATACACACAACACAAAGAAGTTACTAAGAATTCTTCCCTCTAGCATTATATGAAGAAATCCCGTTTCCAACGAAGGCATCTAAGAGGTCCAAATATCCACTTGCAGACTTTACAAACACAGGGTTTCCAGAATGCTGTATGAAAAGAAAGGTTAAACTCTGTGAGTTAAACACACACATCACTACGCAGTGTCTGGGAACGAGTTTGTCTTGTTTTTATACGAAGATATTTCCTTTTCTACCATTGGCATCGAAGCGCTTGAAATCTCCACTTGCAAATTCCACAAAAAGAGTGTTTCAAATCTGCTCTGTCTAAAGGAAGGTTGAACTCTGTGAGTTGCATACACACAACACAAAGAAGTTACTGAGAAATCTTCTGTCTAGCATAATATGAAGAAATCCCGTTTCCAACGAAGGCCTCAAAGAGGTCCGAATATCCACTGGCAGGCTTCACAAACAGAGTGTTTCCTAACTGCTCTGTGAAAAGAAAGGTTAAACTCTGTGAGTTGAACGCACACATCACAAAGGAGTTTCTGAGAATCATTCTGTCTAGTTTTTATACGAAGATATTTCCTTTTCTACCATTGACCTCAAAGCGGCTGACATCTCCACTTGCAAATTCCAGAAAAACAGTGTTTCAAATCTGCTCTGTGTAAAGGATCGTTCAACTCTGTGAGTTGAATACACACAACACAAGGAAGTTACTGAGAATTCATCTGTCTAGCATAATATGAAGAAATCCCGTTTCCAACGAAGGCCTCAAAGAGGTCTGAATATCCTCTTGCAGACTTTACAAACAGAGTGTTTCCTAACTGCTCTTTGAAAAGAAAGGTTAAACTCTGTGAGTTGAACGCACACATCACAAAACAGTTTCTGAGAATCATTCTGTCTAGTTTTTATACGAAGATATTTCCTTTTCTACCGTTGACCTCAAAGCGGCTGAATTCTCCACTTACAAATTCCACCAAAAGAGTGTCTCAAATGTGCTCTGTGTAAAGAATCATTCAACTCTGTGAGTTGAATGCACACAACACAAGGAAGTTACTGGGAATTCCTCTGTCTATCCTTACATGAAAAAACCCGTTTCCAACGAAGGCCTCTAAGAGGCCAAGATATCCACTTGCAGACTTTACAAACAGAGTGTTTCCAAACTGCTGAATGAAAAGAAAAGTTAAACTCTGTGAGTTGAACGCACACATCACAGAGCAGTTTCTGAGAATGATTCTGTCGGGTTTTTATACGAAGATATTTCCTTTTCTGCCTTTGGCCTCAAAGCGCTTGAAATCTCCACTTGCAAATTGCAGAAAAAGAGTGTTTCGAATCTGCTCTGTCTAAAGGAAGGTTCAACTCTGTCAGTTGAATACACACAACACAAGGAAGTTACTGAGATTTCTTCTGTCTAGCCTTACATGAAAAAAACCCGTTTCCAACGAAGGCCTCAAAGAGGTCAAAATATCCACGTGCAGACTTTCCAAACAGAGTGTTTCCAAACTGCTGAATGAAAAGAAAAGTTAAACTCTGTGAGTTGAACGCACACATCACAGAGCAGTTTCTGAGAAAGATTCTGTCGAGTTTTTATAGGAAAATATTTCCTTTTCTGCTTTTGGCCTCAAAGCGCTTGAAATCTCCACTTGCAAATTCCACAAAAAGAGACTTTCAAATCTGCTCTGTCTAAAGGAAGGTTCAACTCTGTCAGTTGAATACACACAACACAAAGAAGTTACTAAGAATTCTTCCCTCTAGCATTATATGAAGAAATCCCGTTTCCAACGAAGGCATCTAAGAGGTCCAAATATCCACTTGCAGACTTTACAAACAGAGGGTTTCCAGAATGCTGTATGAAAAGAAAGGTGAAACTCTGTGAGTTAAACACACACATCACTACGCAGTGTCTGGGAACGAGTTTTGTCTTGTTTTATACGAAGATATTTCCTTTTCTACCATTGGCATCGAAGCGCTTGAAATCTCCACTTGCAAATTCCACAAAAAGAGTGTTTCAAATCTGCTCTGTCTAAAGGAAGGTTGAACTCTGTGAGTTGCATACACACAACACAAAGAAGTTACTGAGAAATCTTCTGTCTAGCATAATATGAAGAAATCCCGTTTCCAACGAAGGCCTCAAAGAGGTCCGAATATCCACTGGCAGGCTTCACAAACAGAGTGTTTCCTAACTGCTCTGTGAAAAGAAAGGTTAAACTCTGTGAGTTGAACGCACACATCACAAAGGAGTTTCTGAGAATCATTCTGTCTAGTTTTTATACGAAGATATTTCTTTTTCTACCATTGACCTCAAAGCGGCTGAAATCTCCACTTGCAAATTCCAGAAAAACAGTGTTTCAAATCTGCTCTGTGTAAAGGATCGTTCAACTCTGTGAGTTGAATACACACAACACAAGGAAGTTACTGAGAATTCATCTGTCTAGCATAATATGAAGAAATCCCGTTTCCAACGAAGGCCTCAAAGAGGTCTGAATATCCACTTGCAGACTTTACAAACAGAGTGTTTCCTAACTGCTCTTTGAAAAGAAAGGTTAAACTCTGTGAGTTGAACGCACACATCACAAAACAGTTTCTGAGAATCATTCTGTCTAGTTTTTATACGAAGATATTTCCTTTTCTACCGTTGACCTCAAAGCGGCTGAATTCTCCACTTACAAATTCCACCAAAAGAGTGTCTCAAATCTGCTCTGTGTAAAGAATCATTCAACTCTGTGAGTTGAATGCACACAACACAAGGAAGTTACTGGGAATTCCTCTGTCTAACATTACATGAAAAAACCCGTTTCCAACGAAGGCCTCTAAGAGGCCAAGATATCCACTTGCAGACTTTACAAACAGAGTGTTTCCAAACTGCTGAATGAAAAGAAAAGTTAAACTCTGTGAGTTGAACGCACACATCACAGAGCAGTTTCTGAGAATGATTCTGTCGGGTTTTTATACGAAGATATTTCCTTTTCTGCCTTTGGCCTCAAAGCGCTTGAAGTCTCCACTTGCAAATTGCAGAAAAAGAGTGTTTCGAATCTGCTCTGTCTAAAGGAAGGTTCAACTCTGTCAGTTGAATACACACAACACAAGGAAGTTACTGAGATTTCTTCTGTCTAGCCTTACATGAAAAAAACCCGTTTCCAACGAAGGCCTCAAAGAGGTCAAAATATCCACGTGCAGACTTTCCAAACAGAGTGTTTCCAAACTGCTGAATGAAAAGAAAAGTTAAACTCTGTGAGTTGAACGCACACATCCCAGAGCAGTTTCTGAGAAAGATTCTGTCTACTTTTTATACGAACATATTTCCTTTTCTACCTTTGGCCTCAAAGCACTTGAAATCTCCACTTGCAAATTCCATAAAAAGAGTGTTTCAAATCTGCTCTGTCTAAAGGAAGGTTGAACTCTGTGAGTTGCATACACACGACACAAAGAAGTTACTGAGAATTCTTCTGTCTAGCATAATATGAAGAAATCCCGTTTCCAACGAAGGCCTCAAAGAGGTCCGAATATCCACTGGCAGGCTTCACAAACAGAGTGTTTCCTAAGTGCTCTGTGAAAAGAAAGGTTAAACTCTGTGAGTTGAACGCACACATCACAAAGGAGTTTCTGAGAATCATTCTGTCTAGTTTTTATACGAAGATATTTCCTTTTCTACCATTGACCTCAAAGCGGCTGAAATCTCCACTTGCAAATTCCAGAAAAACAGTGTTTCAAATCTGCTCTGTGTAAAGGATCGTTCAACTCTGTGAGTTGAATACACACAACACAAGGAAGTTACTGAGAATTCATCTGTCTAGCATAATATGAAGAAATCCCGTTTCCAACGAAGGCCTCAAAGAGGTCTGAATATCCACTTGCAGACTTTACAAACAGAGTGTTTCCTAACTGCTCTTTGAAAAGAAACGTTAAACTCTGTGAGTTGAACGCACACATCACAAAACAGTTTCTGAGAATCATTCTGTCTAGTTTTTATACGAAGATATTTCCTTTTCTACCGTTGACCTCAAAGCGGCTGAATTCTCCACTTACAAA
The DNA here is from genome assembly GCF_000001405.40 of Homo sapiens. Taxonomy (NCBI): domain Eukaryota; kingdom Metazoa; phylum Chordata; class Mammalia; order Primates; family Hominidae; genus Homo; species Homo sapiens. The sequence continues at coordinate 37,815,672 of NC_000016.10, read as the reverse complement.
TTCCACCAAAAGAGTGTCTCAAATCTGCTCTGTGTAAAGAATCATTCAACTCTGTGAGTTGAATGCACACAACACAAGGAAGTTACTGGGAATTCCTCTGTCTAACCTTACATGAAAAAACCCGTTTCCAACGAAGGCCTCTAATTAGGCCAAGATATCCACTTGCAGACTTTACAAACAGAGTGTTTCCAAACTGCTGAATGAAAAGAAAAGTTAAACTCTGTGAGTTGAACGCACACATCACAGAGCAGTTTCTGAGAATGATTCTGTCGGGTTTTTATACGAAGATATTTCCTTTTCTGCCTTTGGCCTCAAAGCGCTTGAAGTCTCCACTTGCAAATTGCAGAAAAAGAGTGTTTCGAATCTGCTCTGTCTAAAGGAAGGTTCAACTCTGTCAGTTGAATACACACAACACAAGGAAGTTACTGAGATTTCTTCTGTCTAGCCTTACATGAAAAAAACCCGTTTCCAACGAAGGCCTCAAAGAGGTCAAAATATCCACGTGCAGACTTTCCAAACAGAGTGTTTCCAAACTGCTGAATGAAAAGAAAAGTTAAACTCTGTGAGTTGAACGCACACATCCCAGAGCAGTTTCTGAGAAAGATTCTGTCGAGTTTTTATAGGAAAATATTTCCTTTTCTGCTTTTGGCCTCAAAGCGCTTGAAATCTCCACTTGCAAATTCCACAAAAAGAGACTTTCAAATCTGCTCTGTCTAAAGGAAGGTTCAACTCTGTCAGTTGAATACACACAACACAAAGAAGTTACTAAGAATTCTTCCCTCTAGCATTATATGAAGAAATCCCGTTTCCAACGAAGGCATCTAAGAGGTCCAAATATCCACTTGCAGACTTTACAAACACAGGGTTTCCAGAATGCTGTATGAAAAGAAAGGTTAAACTCTGTGAGTTAAACACACACATCACTACGCAGTGTCTGGGAACGAGTTTGTCTTGTTTTTATACGAAGATATTTCCTTTTCTACCATTGGCATCGAAGCGCTTGAAATCTCCACTTGCAAATTCCACAAAAAGAGTGTTTCAAATCTGCTCTGTCTAAAGGAAGGTTGAACTCTGTGAGTTGCATACACACAACACAAAGAAGTTACTGAGAAATCTTCTGTCTAGCATAATATGAAGAAATCCCGTTTCCAACGAAGGCCTCAAAGAGGTCCGAATATCCACTGGCAGGCTTCACAAACAGAGTGTTTCCTAACTGCTCTGTGAAAAGAAAGGTTAAACTCTGTGAGTTGAACGCACACATCACAAAGGAGTTTCTGAGAATCATTCTGTCTAGTTTTTATACGAAGATATTTCTTTTTCTACCATTGACCTCAAAGCGGCTGAAATCTCCACTTGCAAATTCCAGAAAAACAGTGTTTCAAATCTGCTCTGTGTAAAGGATCGTTCAACTCTGTGAGTTGAATACACACAACACAAGGAAGTTACTGAGAATTCATCTGTCTAACATAATATGAAGAAATCCCGTTTCCAACGAAGGCCTCAAAGAGGTCTGAATATCCACTTGCAGACTTTACAAACAGAGTGTTTCCTAACTGCTCTTTGAAAAGAAAGGTTAAACTCTGTGAGTTGAACGCACACATCACAAAACAGTTTCTGAGAATCATTCTGTCTAGTTTTTATACGAAGATATTTCCTTTTCTACCGTTGACCTCAAAGCGGCTGAATTCTCCACTTACAAATTCCACCAAAAGAGTGTCTCAAATCTGCTCTGTGTAAAGAATCATTCAACTCTGTGAGTTGAATGCACACAACACAAGGAAGTTACTGGGAATTCCTCTGTCTAACCTTACATGAAAAAACCCGTTTCCAACGAAGGCCTCTAAGAGGCCAAGATATCCACTTGCAGACTTTACAGACAGAGTGTTTCCAAACTGCTGAATGAAAAGAAAAGTTAAACTCTGTGAGTTGAACGCACACATCACAGAGCAGTTTCTGAGAATGATTCTGTCGGGTTTTTATACGAAGATATTTCCTTTTCTGCCTTTGGCCTCAAAGCGCTTGAAGTCTCCACTTGCAAATTGCAGAAAAAGTGTGTTTCGAATCTGCTCTGTCTAAAGGAAGGTTCAACTCTGTCAGTTGAATACACACAACACAAGGAAGTTACTGAGATTTCTTCTGTCTAGCGTTACATGAAAAAAACCCGTTTCCAACGAAGGCCTCAAAGAGGTCAAAATATCCACGTGCAGACTTTCCAAACAGAGTGTTTCCAAACTGCTGAATGAAAAGAAAAGTTAAACTCTGTGAGTTGAACGCACACATCCCAGAGCAGTTTCTGAGAAAGATTCTGTCTAGTTTTTATAGGAAAATATTTCCTTTTCTGCTTTTGGCCTCAAAGCGCTTGAAATCTCCACTTGCAAATTCCACAAAAAGAGACTTTCAAATCTGCTCTGTCTAAAGGAAGCTTCAACTCTGTCAGTTGAATACACACAACACAAAGAAGTTACTAAGAATTCTTCCCTCTAGCATTATATGAAGAAATGCCGTTTCCAACGAAGGCATCTAAGAGGTCCAAATATCCACTTGCAGACTTTACAAACAGAGGGTTTCCAGAATGCTGTATGAAAAGAAAGGTTAAACTCTGTGAGTTAAACACACACATCACTACGCAGTGTCTGGGAACGAGTTTGTCTTGTTTTTGTACGAAGCTATTTCCTTTTCTACTAATGGCATCGAAGCGCTTGAAATCTCCACTTGCAAATTCCACAAAAAGAGTGTTTCAAATCTGCTCTGTCTAAAGGAAGGTTGAACTCTGTGAGTTGCATACACACAACACAAAGAAGTAACTGAGAAATCTTCTGTCTAGCATAATATGAAGAAATCCCGTTTCCAACGAAGGCCTCAAAGAGGTCCGAATATCCACTGGCAGGCTTCACAAACAGAGTGTTTCCTAACTGCTCTGTGAAAAGAAAGGTTAAACTCTGTGAGTTGAACGCACACATCACAAAGGAGTTTCTGAGAATCATTCTGTCTAGTTTTTATACGAAGATATTTCCTTTTCTACCATTGACCTCAAAGCGGCTGAAATCTCCACTTGCAAATTCCAGAAAAACAGTGTTTCAAATCTGCTCTGTGTAAAGGATCGTTCAACTCTGTGAGTTGAATACACACAACACAAGGAAGTTACTGAGAATTCATCTGTCTAGCATAATATGAAGAAATCCCGTTTCCAACGAAGGCCTCAAAGAGGTCTGAATATCCACTTGCAGACTTTACAAACAGAGTGTTTCCTAACTGCTCTTTGAAAAGAAAGGTTAAACTCTGTGAGTTGAACGCACACATCACAAAACAGTTTCTGAGAATCATTCTGTCTAGTTTTTATACGAAGATATTTCCTTTTCTACCGTTGACCTCAAAGCGGCTGAATTCTCCACTTACAAATTCCACCAAAAGAGTGTCTCAAATCTGCTCTGTGTAAAGAATCATTCAACTCTGTGAGTTGAATGCACACAACACAAGGAAGTTACTGGGAATTCCTCTGTCTATCCTTACATGAAAAAACCCGCTTCCAACGAAGGCCTCTAAGAGGCCAAGATATCCACTTGCAGACTTTACAAACAGAGTGTTTCCAAACTGCTGAATGAAAAGAAAAGTTAAACTCTGTGAGTTGAACGCACACATCACAGAGCAGTTTCTGAGAATGATTCTGTCGGGTTTTTATACGAAGATATTTCCTTTTCTGCCTTTGGCCTCAAAGCGCTTGAAGTCTCCACTTGCAAATTGCAGAAAAAGAGTGTTTCGAATCTGCTCTGTCTAAAGGAAGGTTCAACTCTGTCAGTTGAATACACACAACACAAGGAAGTTACTGAGATTTCTTCTGTCTAGCCTTACATGAAAAAAACTCGTTTCCAACGAAGGCCTCAAAGAGGTCAAAATATCCACGTGCAGACTTTCCAAACAGAGTGTTTCCAAACTGCTGAATGAAAAGAAAGTTAAACTCTCTGAGTTGAACACACACATCACAGAGCAGTTTCTGAGAATGATTCTGTCTAGTTTTTATAGGAAAATATTTCCTTTTCTGCTTTTGGCCTCAAAGCGCTTGAAATCTCCACTTGCAAATTCCACAAAAAGAGACTTTCAAATCTGCTCTGTCTAAAGGAAGGTTCAACTCTGTCAGTTGAATACACACAACACAAAGAAGTTACTAAGAATTCTTCCCTCTAGCATTATATGAAGAAATCCCGTTTCCAACGAAGGCATCTAAGAGGTCCAAATATCGACTTGCAGACTTTACAAACAGAGGGTTTCCAGAATGCTGTATGAAAAGAAAGGTGAAACTCTGTGAGTTAAACACACACATCACTACGCAGTGTCTGGGAACGAGTTTGTCTTGTTTTTATACGAAGATATTTCCTTTTCTACCATTGGCATCGAAGCGCTTGAAATCTCCACTTGCAAATTCCACAAAAAGAGTGTTTCAAATCTGCTCTTTCTAAAGGAAGGTTGAACTCTGTGAGTTGCATACACACAACACAAAGAAGTTACTGAGAAATCTTCTGTCTAGCATAATATGAAGAAATCCCGTTTCCAACGAAGGCCTGAAAGAGGTCCGAATATCCACTGGCAGGCTTCACAAACAGAGTGTTTCCTAACTGCTCTGTGAAAAGAAAGGTTAAACTCTGTGAGTTGAACGCACACATCACAAAGGAGTTTCTGAGAATCATTCTGTCTAGTTTTTATACGAAGATATTTCCTTTTCTACCATTGACCTCAAAGCGGCTGAAATCTCCACTTGCAAATTCCAGAAAAACAGTGTTTCAAATCTGCTCTGTGTAAAGGATCGTTCAACTCTGTGAGTTGAATACACACAACACAAGGAAGTTACTGAGAATTCATCTGTCTAGCATAATATGAAGAAATCCCGTTTCCAACGAAGGCCTCAAAGAGGTCTGAATATCCACTTGCAGACTTTACAGAGTGTTTCCTAACTGCTCTCTGAAAAGAAAGGTTAAACTCTGTGAGTTGAACGCACACATCACAAAACAGTTTCTGAGAATCATTCTGTCTAGTTTTTATACGAAGATATTTCCTTTTCTACCGTTGACCTCAAAGCGGCTGAATTCTCCACTTACAAATTCCACCAAAAGAGTGTCTCAAATCTGCTCTGTGTAAAGAATCATTCAACTCTGTGAGTTGAATGCACACAACACAAGGAAGTTACTGGGAATTCCTCTGTCTATCCTTACATGAAAAAACCCGTTTCCAACGAAGGCCTCTAAGAGGCCAAGATATCCACTTGCAGACTTTACAAACAGAGTGTTTCCAAACTGCTGAATGAAAAGAAAAGTTAAACTCTGTGAGTTGAACGCACACATCACAGAGCAGTTTCTGAGAATGATTCTGTCGGGTTCTTATACGAAGATATTTCCTTTTCTGCCTTTGGCCTCAAAGCGCTTGAAGTCTCCACTTGCAAATTGCAGAAAAAGAGTGTTTCGAATCTGCTCTGTCTAAAGGAAGGTTCAACTCTGTCAGTTGAATACACACAACACAAGGAAGTTACTGAGATTTCTTCTGTCTAGCCTTACATGAAAAAAACCCGTTTCCAACGAAGGCCTCAAAGAGGTCAAAATATCCACGTGCAGACTTTCCAAACAGAGTGTTTCCAAACTGCTGAATGAAAAGAAAAGTTAAACTCTGTGAGTTGAACGCACACATCCCAGAGCAGTTTCTGAGAAAGATTCTGTCGAGGTTTTATAGGAAAATATTTCCTTTTCTGCTTTTGGCCTCAAAGCGCTTGAAATCTCCACTTGCAAATTCCACAAAAAGAGACTTTCAAATCTGCTCTGTCTAAAGGAAGGTTCAACTCTGTCAGTTGAATACACACAACACAAAGAAGTTACTAAGAATTCTTCCCTCTAGCATTATATGAAGAAATCCCGTTTCCAACGAAGGCATCTAAGAGGTCCAAATATCGACTTGCAGACTTTACAAACAGAGGGTTTCCAGAATGCTGTATGAAAAGAAAGGTTAAACTCTGTGAGTTAAACACACACATCACTACGCAGTGTCTGGGAACGAGTTTGTCTTGTTTTTATACGAAGATATTTCCTTTTCTACCATTGGCATCGAAGCGCTTGAAATCTCCACTTGCAAATTCCACAAAAAGAGTGTTTCAAATCTGCTCTGTCTAAAGGAAGGTTGAACTCTGTGAGTTGCATACACACAACACAAAGAAGTTACTGAGAAATCTTCTGTCTAGCAAAATATGAAGAAATCCCGTTTCCAACGAAGGCCTCAAAGAGGTCCGAATATCCACTGGCAGGCTTCACAAACAGAGTGTTTCCTAACTGCTCTGTGAAAAGAAAGGTTAAACTCTGTGAGTTGAACGCACACATCACAAAGGAGTTTCTGAGAATCATTCTGTCTAGTTTTTATACAGAAGATATTTCCTTTTCTACCATTGACCTCAAAGCGGCTGAAATCTCCACTTGCAAATTCCAGAAAAACAGTGTTTCAAATCTGCTCTGTGTAAAGGATCGTTCAACTCTGTGAGTTGAATACACACAACACAAGGAAGTTACTGAGAATTCATCTGTCTAGCATAATATGAAGAAATCCCGTTTCCAACGAAGGCCTCAAAGAGGTCTGAATATCCACTTGCAGACTTTACAAACAGAGTGTTTCCTAACTGCTCTTTGAAAAGAAAGGTTAAACTCTGTGAGTTGAACGCACACATCACAAAACAGTTTCTGAGAATCATTCTGTCTAGTTTTTATATGAAGATATTTCCTTTTCTACCGTTGACCTCAAAGCGGCTGAATTCTCCACTTACAAATTCCACCAAAAGAGTGTCTCAAATCTGCTCTGTGTAAAGAATCATTCAACTCTGTGAGTTGAATGCACACAACACAAGGAAGTTACTGGGAATTCCTCTGTCTATCCTTACATGAAAAAACCCGCTTCCAACGAAGGCCTCTAAGAGGCCAAGATATCCACTTGCAGACTTTACAAACAGAGTGTTTCCAAACTGCTGAATGAAAAGAAAAGTTAAACTCTGTGAGTTGAACGCACACATCACAGAGCAGTTTCTGAGAATGATTCTGTCGGGTTTTTATACGAAGATATTTCCTTTTCTGCCTTTGGCCTCAAAGCGCTTGAAGTCTCCACTTGCAAATTGCAGAAAAAGAGTGTTTCAAATCTGCTCTGTCTAAAGGAAGGTTCAACTCTGTCAGTTGAATACACACAACACAAGGAAGTTACTGAGATTTCTTCTGTCTAGCCTTACATGAAAAAAACCCGTTTCCAACGAAGGCCTCAAAGAGGTCAAAATATCCACGTGCAGACTTTCCAAACAGAGTGTTTCCAAACTGCTGAATGAAAAGAAAAGTTAAACTCTGTGAGTTGAACGCACACATCCCCAGAGCAGTTTCTGAGAAAGATTCTGTCTAGTTTTTATAGGAAAATATTTCCTTTTCTGCTTTTGGCCTCAAAGCGCTTGAAATCTCCACTTGCAAATTCCACAAAAAGAGACTTTCAAATCTGCTCTGTCTAAAGGAAGGTTCAACTCTGTCAGTTGAATACACACAACACAAAGAAGTTACTAAGAATTCTTCCCTCTAGCATTATATGAAGAAATCCCGTTTCCAACGAAGGCATCTAAGAGGTCCAAATATCCACTTGCAGACTTTACAAACACAGGGTTTCCAGAATGCTGTATGAAAAGAAAGGTTAAACTCTGTGAGTTAAACACACACATCACTACGCAGTGTCTGGGAACGAGTTTGTCTTGTTTTTATACGAAGATATTTCCTTTTCTACCATTGGCATCGAAGCGTTTGAAATCTCCACTTGCAAATTCCACAAAAAGAGTGTTTCAAATCTGCTCTGTCTAAAGGAAGGTTGAACTCTGTGAGTTGCATACACACAACCCAAAGAAGTTACTGAGAAATCTTCTGTCTAGCATAATATGAAGAAATCCCGTTTCCAACGAAGGCCTCAAAGAGGTCCGAATATCCACTGGCAGGCTTCACAAACAGAGTGTTTCCTAACTGCTCTGTGAAAAGAAAGGTTAAACTCTGTGAGTTGAACGCACACATCACAAAGGAGTTTCTGAGAATCATTCTGTCTAGTTTTTATACGAAGATATTTCTTTTTCTACCATTGACCTCAAAGCGGCTGAAATCTCCACTTGCAAATTCCAGAAAAACAGTGTTTCAAATCTGCTCTGTGTAAAGGATCGTTCAACTCTGTGAGTTGAATACACACAACACAAGGAAGTTACTGAGAATTCATCTGTCTATCATAATATGAAGAAATCCCGTTGCCAACGAAGGCCTCAAAGAGGTCTGAATATCCACTTGCAGACTTTACAAACAGAGTGTTTCCTAACTGCTCTTTGAAAAGAAAGGTTAAACTCTGTGAGTTGAACGCACACATCACAAAACAGTTTCTGAGAATCATTCTGTCTAGTTTTTATACGAAGATATTTCCTTTTCTACCGTTGACCTCAAAGCGGCTGAATTCTCCACTAACAAATTCCACCAAAAGAGTGTCTCAAATCTGCTCTGTGTAAAGAATCATTCAACTCTGTGAGTTGAATGCACACAACACAAGGAAGTTACTGGGAATTCCTCTGTCTAACCTTACATGAAAAAACCCGTTTCCAACGAAGGCCTCTAAGAGGCCAAGATATCCACTTGCAGACTTTACAAACAGAGTGTTTCCAAACTGCTGAATGAAAAGAAAAGTTAAACTCTGTGAGTTGAACGCACACATCACAGAGCAGTTTCTGAGAATGATTCTGTCGGGTTTTTATACGAAGATATTTCCTTTTCTGCCTTTGGCCTCAAAGCGCTTGAAGTCTCCACTTGCAAATTGCAGAAAAAGAGTGTTTCGAATCTGCTCTGTCTAAAGGAAGGTTCAACTCTGTCAGTTGAATACACACAACACAAGGAAGTTACTGAGATTTCTTCTGTCTAGCCTTACATGAAAAAAACCCGTTTCCAACGAAGGCCTCAAAGAGGTCAAAATATCTACGTGCAGACTTTCCAAACAGAGTGTTTCCAAACTGCTGAATGAAAAGAAAGTTAAACTCTGTGAGTTGAACACACACATCACAGAGCAGTTTCTGAGAATGATTCTGTCTAGTTTTTATAGGAAAATATTTCCTTTTCTGCTTTTGGCCTCAAAGCGCTTGAAATCTCCACTTGCAAATTCCACAAAAAGAGACTTTCAAATCTGCTCTGTCTAAAGGAAGGTTCAACTCTGTCAGTTGAATACACACAACACAAAGAAGTTACTAAGAATTCTTCCCTCTAGCAGTATGTGGAGAAATCCCGTTTCCAACGAAGGCATCTAAGAGGTCCAAATATCCACTTGCAGACTTTACAAACAGAGGGTTTCCAGACTTCTGTATGAAAAGAAAGGTTAAACTCTGTGAGTTAAACACACACATCACTACGCAGTTTCTGGGAACGAGTTTGTCTTATTTTTCTACGAAGATATTTCCTTTTCTACCATTGGCATCGAAGCGCTTGAAATCTCCACTTGCAAATTCAACAAAAAGAGTGTTTCAAATCTGCTATCTCTAAAGGAAGGTTGAACTCTGTGAGATGCATACACACAACACAAAGTAGTTACTGAGAAATCTGTCTAGCATAATATGAAGAACTCCCGTTTCCAACGAAGGCCTCAAAGAGGTCCGAATATCCACTGGCAGACTTAACAAACAGAGTGTTTCCCAACTGCTCTGTGAAAAGAAAGGTTAAACTCTGTGAGTTGAACGCACACATCACAAAGGGGTTTCTGAGAATCATTCTGTCTAGTTTTTATACGAAGATATTTCCTTTTCTACCATTGACCTCAAAGCGGCTGAAATCTCCACTTGCAGATTCCAGAAAAAGAGTGTTTCAAATCTGCTCTGTGTAAAGGATCGTTCAACTCTGTGAGTTGAATACACCCAACACAAGGAAATTACTGAGAATTCATCTGTCTAGCATAATATGAAGAAATCCCGTTTCCAACGAAGGCCTCAAAGAGGTCTGAATATCCACTTGCAGACTTTACAAACAGAGTGTTTCCTAACTGCTCTTTGAAAAGAAAGGTTAAACTCTGTGAGTTGAACGCACACATCACAAAACAGTTTCTGAGAATCATTCTGTCTAGTTTTTATACGAAGATATTATTTCCTTTTCTACCGTTGACATCAAAGCAGCTGAATTCTCCACTTACAAATTCCACCAAAAGAGTGTCTCAAATCTGCTCTGTGTAAAGAATCATTCAACTCTGTGAGTTGAATGCACACAACACAAGGAAGTTAGTGGGAATTCCTCTGTCTAACCTTACATGATAAAACCCGTTTCCAACGAAGGCCTCTAAGAGGCCAAGATATCCACTTGCAGACTTTACAAACAGAGTGTTTCCAAACTGCTGAATGAAAAGAAAAGTTAAACTCTGTGAGTTGAACGCACACATCACAGAGCAGTTTCTGAGAATGATTCTGTCGGGTTTTTATACGAAGATATTTCCGTTTCTGCCTTTGGCCTCAAAGCGCTTGAAGTCTCCACTTGCAAATTGCAGAAAAAGAGTGTTTCGAATCTGCTCTGTCTAAAGGAAGGTTCAACTCTGTCAGTTGAATACACACAACACAAGGAAGTTACTGAGATTTCTTCTGTCTAGCCTTACATGAAAAAAACCCGTTTCCAACGAAGGCCTCAAAGAGGTCAAAATATCCACGTGCAGACTTTCCAAACAGAGTGTTTCCAAACTGCTGAATGAAAAGAAAAGTTAAACTCTGTGAGTTGAACGCACACATCCCAGAGCAGTTTCTGAGAAAGATTCTGTCGAGTTTTTATAGGAAAATATTTCCTTTTCTGCTTTTGGCCTCAAAGCGCTTGAAATCTCCACGTGCAAATTCCACAAAAAGAGACTTTCAAATCTGCTCTGTCTAAAGGAAGGTTCAACTCTGTCAGTTGAATACACACAACACAAAGAAGTTACTAAGAATTCTTCCCTCTAGCATTATATGAAGAAATCCCGTTTCCAACGAAGGCATCTAAGAGGTCCAAATATCCACTTGCAGACTTTACAAACACAGGGTTTCCAGAATGCTGTATGAAAAGAAAGGTTAAACTCTGTGAGTTAAACACACACATCACTACGCAGTGTCTGGGAACGAGTTTGTCTTGTTTTTATACGAAGATATTTCCTTTTCTACCATTGGCATCGAAGGGCTTGAAATCTCCACTTGCAAATTCCACAAAAAGAGTGTTTCAAATCTGCTCTGTCTAAAGGAAGGTTGAACTCTGTGAGTTGCATACACACAACACAAAGAAGTTACTGAGAAATCTTCTGTCTAGCATAATATGAAGAAATCCCGTTTCCAACGAAGGCCTCAAAGAGGTCCGAATATCCACTGGCAGGCTTCACAAACAGAGTGTTTCCTAACTGCTCTGTGAAAAGAAAGGTTAAACTCTGTGAGTTGAACGCACACATCACAAAGGAGTTTCTGAGAATCATTCTGTCTAGTTTTTATACGAAGATATTTCCTTTTCTACCATTGACCTCAAATCGGCTGAAATCTCCACTTGCAAATTCCAGAAAAACAGTGTTTCAAATCTGCTCTGTGTAAAGGATCGTTCAACTCTGTGAGTTGAATACACACAACACAAGGAAGTTACTGAGAATTCATCTGTCTAGCATAATATGAAGAAATCCCGTTTCCAACGAAGGCCTCAAAGAGGTCTGAATATCCACTTGCAGACTTTACAAACAGAGTGTTTCCTAACTGCTCTTTGAAAAGAAAGGTTAAACTCTGTGAGTTGAACGCACACATCACAAAACAGTTTCTGAGAATCATTCTGTCTAGTTTTTATACGAAGATATTTCCTTTTCTACCGTTGACCTCAAAGCGGCTGAATTCTCCACTTACAAATTCCACCAAAAGAGTGTCTCAAATCTGCTCTGTGTAAAGAATCATTCAACTCTGTGAGTTGAATGCACACAACACAAGGAAGTTACTGGGAATTCCTCTGTCTATCCTTACATGAAAAAACCCGTTTCCAACGAAGGCCTCTAAGAGGCCAAGATATCCACTTGCAGACTTTACAAACAGAGTGTTTCCAAACTGCTGAATGAAAAGAGAAGTTAAACTCTGTGAGTTGAACGCACACATCACAGAGCAGTTTCTGAGAATGATTCTGTCGGGTTTTTATACGAAGATATTTCCTTTTCTGCCTTTGGCCTCAAAGCGCTTGAAGTCTCCACTTGCAAATTGCAGAAAAAGAGTGTTTCGAATCTGCTCTGTCTAAAGGAAGGTTCAACTCTGTCAGTTGAATACACACAACACAAGGAAGTTACTGAGATTTCTTCTGTCTAGCCTTACATGAAAAAAACCCGTTTCCAACGAAGGCCTCAAAGAGGTCAAAATATCCACGTGCAGACTTTCCAAACAGAGTGTTTCCAAACTGCTGAATGAAAAGAAAAGTTAAACTCTGTGAGTTGAACGCACACATCCCAGAGCAGTTTCTGAGAAAGATTCTGTCGAGTTTTTATAGGAAAATATTTCCTTTTCTGCTTTTGGCCTCAAAGCGCTTGAAATCTCCACTTGCAAATTCCACAAAAAGAGACTTTCAAATCTGCTCTGTCTAAAGGAAGGTTCAACTCTGTCAGTTGAATACACACAACACAAAGAAGTTACTAAGAATTCTTCCCTCTAGCATTATATGAAGAAATCCCGTTTCCAACGAAGGCATCTAAGAGGTCCAAATATCCACTTGCAGACTTTACAAACAGAGGGTTTCCAGAATGCTGTATGAAAAGAAAGGTTAAACTCTGTGAGTTAAACACACACATCACTACGCAGTGTCTGGGAACGAGTTTGTCTTGTTTTTATACGAAGATATTTCCTTTTCTACCATTGGCATCGAAGCGCTTGAAATCTCCACTTGCAAATTCCACAAAAAGAGTGTTTCAAATCTGCTCTGTCTAAAGGAAGGTTGAACTCTGTGAGTTGCATACACACAACACAAAGAAGTTACTGAGAAATCTTCTGTCTAGCATAATATGAAGATATCCCGTTTCCAACGAAGGCCTCAAAGAGGTCCGAATATCCACTGGCAGGCTTCACAAACAGAGTGTTTCCTAACTGCTCTGTGAAAAGAAAGGTTAAACTCTGTGAGTTGAACGCACACATCACAAAGGAGTTTCTGAGAATCATTCTGTCTAGTTTTTATACGAAGATATTTCCTTTTCTACCATTGACCTCAAAGCGGCTGAAATCTCCACTTGCAAATTCCAGAAAAACAGTGTTTCAAATCTGCTCTGTGTAAAGGATCGTTCAACTCTGTGAGTTGAATACACACAACACAAGGAAGTTACTGAGAATTCATCTGTCTAGCATAATATGAAGAAATCCCGTTTCCAACGAAGGCCTCAAAGAGGTCTGAATATCTACTTGCAGACTTTACAAACAGAGTGTTTCCTAACTGCTCTTTGAAAAGAAAGGTTAAACTCTGTGAGTTGAAAGCACACATCACAAAACAGTTTCTGAGAATCATTCTGTCAATTTTTTATACGAAGATATTTCCTTTTCTACCGTTGACCTCAAAGCAGCTGAATTCTCCACTTACAAATTCCACCAAAAGAGTGTCTCAAATCTGCTCTGTGTAAAGAATCATTCAACTCTGTGAGTTGAATGCACACAACACAAGGAAGTTACTGGGAATTCCTCTGTCTAGCATTACATGAAAAAAACCCGTTCCCAACGAAGGCCTCAAAGAGGTCAAAATATCCACTTGCAGACTTTACAAACAGAGTGTTTCCAAACTGCTGAATGAAAAGAAAAGTTAAACTCTGTGAGTTGAACGCACACATCACTGAGCAGTTTCTGAGAATGATTCTGTCGGGTTTTTATACGAAGATATTTCCTTTTCTGCCTTTGGCCTCAAAGTGCTTGAAGTCTCCACTTGCAAATTGCAGAAAAAGAGTGTTTCGAATCTGCTCTGTCTAAAGGAAGGTTCAACTCTGTCAGTTGAATACACACAACACAAGGAAGTTACTGAGATTTCTTCTGTCTAGCCTTACATGAAAAAAACCCGTTTCCAACGAAGGCCTCAAAGAGGTCAAAATATCCACGTGCAGACTTTCCAAACAGAGTGTTTCCAAACTGCTGAATGAAAAGAAAAGTTAAACTCTGTGAGTTGAACGCACACATCCCAGAGCAGTTTCTGAGAAAGATTCTGTCGAGTTTTTATAGGAAAATATTTCCTTTTCTGCTTTTGGCCTCAAAGCGCTTGAAATCTCCACTTGCAAATTCCACAAAAAGAGACTTTCAAATCTGCTCTGTCTAAAGGAAGGTTCAACTCTGTCAGTTGAATACACACAACACAAAGAAGTTACTAAGAATTCTTCCCTCTAGCATTATATGAAGAAATCCCGTTTCCAACGAAGGTATCTAAGAGGTCCAAATATCCACTTGCAGACTTTACAAACACAGGGTTTCCAGAATGCTGTATGAAAAGAAAGGTTAAACTCTGTGAGTTAAACACACACATCACTACGCAGTGTCTGGGAACGAGTTTGTCTTGTTTTTATACGAAGATATTTCCTTTTCTACCATTGGCATCGAAGCGCTTGAAATCTCCACTTGCAAATTCCACAAAAAGAGTGTTTCAAATCTGCTCTGTCTAAAGGAAGGTTGAACTCTGTGAGTTGCATACACACAACACAAAGAAGTTACTGAGAAATCTTCTGTCTAGCATAATATGTAGAAATCCCGTTTCCAACGAAGGCCTCAAAGAGGTCCGAATATCCACTGGCAGGCTTCACAAACAGAGTGTTTCCTAACTGCTCTGTGAAAAGAAAGGTTAAACTCTGTGAGTTGAACGCACACATCACAAAGGAGTTTCTGAGAATCATTCTGTCTAGTTTTTATACGAAGATATTTCCTTTTCTACCATTGACCTCAAAGCGGCTGAAATCTCCACTTGCAAATTCCAGAAAAACAGTGTTTCAAATCTGCTCTGTGTAAAGGATCGTTCAACTCTGTGAGTTGAATACACACAACACAAGGAAGTTACTGAGAATTCATCTGTCTAGCATAATATGAAGAAATCCCGTTTCCAACGAAGGCCTCAAAGAGGTCTGAATATCCACTTGCAGACTTTACAAACAGAGTGTTTCCTAACTGCTCTTTGAAAAGAAAGGTTAAACTCTGTGAGTTGAACGCACACATCACAAAACAGTTTCTGAGAATCATTCTGTCTAGTTTTTATACGAAGATATTTCCTTTTCTACCGTTGACCTCAAAGCGGCTGAATTCTCCACTTACAAATTCCACCAAAAGAGTGTCTCAAATCTGCTCTGTGTAAAGAATCATTCAACTCTGTGAGTTGAATGCACACAACACAAGGAAGTTACTGGGAATTCCTCTGTCTAACCTTACATGAAAAAACCCGTTTCCAACGAAGGCCTCTAAGAGGCCAAGATATCCACTTGCAGACTTTACAAACAGAGTGTTTCCAAACTGCTGAATGAAAAGAAAAGTTAAACTCTGTGAGTTGAACGCACACATCACAGAGCAGTTTCTGAGAATGATTCTGTCGGGTTTTTATACGAAGATATTTCCTTTTCTGCCTTTGGCCTCAAAGCGCTTGAAGTCTCCACTTGCAAATTGCAGAAAAAGAGTGTTTCGAATCTGCTCTGTCTAAAGGAAGGTTCAACTCTGTCAGTTGAATACACACAACACAAGGAAGTTACTGAGATTTCTTCTGTCTAGCGTTACATGAAAAAAACCCGTTTCCAACGAAGGCCTCAAAGAGGTCAAAATATCCACGTGCAGACTTTCCAAACAGAGTGTTTCCAAACTGCTGAATGAAAAGAAAGTTAAACTCTGTGAGTTGAACACACACATCACAGAGCAGTTTCTGAGAATGATTCTGTCTAGTTTTTATAGGAAAATATTAACTTTTCTGCTTTTGGCCTCAAAGCGCTTGAAATCTCCACTTGCAAATTCCACAAAAAGAGACTTTCAAATCTGCTCTGTCTAAAGGAAGGTTCAACTCTGTCAGTTGAATACACACAACACAAAGAAGTTACTAAGAATTCTTCCCTCTAGCATTATATGAAGAAATCCCGTTTCCAACGAAGGCATCTAAGAGGTCCAAATATCCACTTGCAGACTTTACAAACAGAGGGTTTCCAGAATGCTGTATGAAAAGAAAGGTTAAACTCTGTGAGTTAAACACACACATCACTACGCAGTGTCTGGGAACGAGTTTGTCTTGTTTTTATACGAAGATATTTCCTTTTCTACCATTGGCATCGAAGGGCTTGAAATCTCCACTTGCAAATTCCGCAAAAAGAGTGTTTCAAATCTGCTCTGTCTAAAGGAAGGTTGAACTCTGTGAGTTGCATACACACAACCCAAAGAAGTTACTGAGAAATCTTCTGTCTAGCATAATATGAAGAAATCCCGTTTCCAACGAAGGCCTCAAAGAGGTCCGATTATCCACTGGCAGGCTTCACAAACAGAGTGTTTCCTAACTGCTCTGTGAAAAGAAAGGTTAAACTCTGTGAGTTGAACGCACACATCACAAAGGAGTTTCTGAGAATCATTCTGTCTAGTTTTTATACGAAGATATTTCCTTTTCTACCATTGACCTCAAAGCGGCTGAAATCTCCACTTGCAAATTCCAGAAAAACAGTGTTTCAAATCTGCTCTGTGTAAAGGATCGTTCAACTCTGTGAGTTGAATACACACAACACAAGGAAGTTACTGAGAATTCATCTGTCTAGCATAATATGAAGAAATCCCGTTTCCAACGAAGGCCTCAAAGAGGTCTGAATATCCACTTGCAGACTTTACAAACAGAGTGTTTCCTAACTGCTCTTTGAAAAGAAAGGTTAAACTCTGTGAGTTGAACGCACACATCACAAAACAGTTTCTGAGAATCATTCTGTCTAGTTTTTATACGAAGATATTTCCTTTTCTACCGTTGACCTCAAAGCGGCTGAATTCTCCACTTACAAATTCCACCAAAAGAGTGTCTCAAATCTGCTCTGTGTAAAGAATCATTCAACTCTGTGAGTTGAATGCACACAACACAAGGAAGTTACTGGGAATTCCTCTGTCTATCCTTACATGAAAAAACCCGTTTCCAACGAAGGCCTCTAAGAGGCCAAGATATCCACTTGCAGACTTTACAAACAGAGTGTTTCCAAACTGCTGAATGAAAAGAAAAGTTAAACTCTGTGAGTTGAACGCACACATCACAGAGCAGTTTCTGAGAAAGATTCTGTCTAGTTTTTATAGGAAAATATTTCCTTTTCTGCTTTTGGCCTCAAAGCGCTTGAAATCTCCACTTGCAAATTCCACAAAAAGAGTGTTTCAAATCTGCTCTGTCTAAAGGAAGGTTGAACTCTGTGAGTTGCATACACACAACACAAAGAAGTTACTGAGAAATCTTCTGTCTAGCATAATATGAAGAAATCCCGTTTCCAACGAAGGCCTCAAAGAGGTCCGAATATCCACTGGCAGGCTTCACAAACAGAGTGTTTCCTAACTGCTCTGTGAAAAGAAAGGTTAAACTCTGTGAGTTGAACGCACACATCACAAAGGAGTTTCTGAGAATCATTCTGTCTAGTTTTTATACGAAGATATTTCCTTTTCTACCATTGACCTCAAAGCGGCTGAAATCTCCACTTGCAAATTCCAGAAAAACAGTGTTTCAAATCTGCTCTGTGTAAAGGATCGTTTAACTCTGTGAGTTGAATACACACAACACAAGGAAGTTACTGAGAATTCATCTGTCTAGCATAATATGAAGAAATCCCGTTTCCAACGAAGGCCTCAAAGAGGTCTGAATATCCACTTGCAGACTTTACAAACAGAGTGTTTCCTAACTGCTCTTTGAAAAGAAAGGTTAAACTCTGTGAGTTGAACGCACACATCACAAAACAGTTTCTGAGAATCATTCTGTCTAGTTTTTATACGAAGATATTTGCTTTTCTATCGTTGACCTCAAAGCGGCTGAATTCTCCACTTACAAATTCCACCAAAAGAGTGTCTCAAATCTGCTCTGTGTAAAGAATCATTCAACTCTGTGAGTTGAATGCACACAACACAAGGAAGTTACTGGGAATTCCTCTGTCTATCCTTACATGAAAAAACCCGCTTCCAACGAAGGCCTCTAAGAGGCCAAGATATCCACTTGCAGACTTTACAAACAGAGTGTTTCCAAACTGCTGAATGAAAAGAAAAGTTAAACTCTGTGAGTTGAACGCACACATCACAGAGCAGTTTCTGAGAATGATTCTGTCGGGTTTTTATACGAAGATATTTCCTTTTCTGCCTTTGGCCTCAAAGCGCTTGAAGTCTCCACTTGCAAATTGCAGAAAAAGAGTGTTTCGAATCTGCTCTGTCTAAAGGAAGGTTCAACTCTGTCAGTTGAATACACACAACACAAGGAAGTTACTGAGATTTCTTCTGTCTAGCCTTACATGAAAAAAACCCGTTTCCAACGAAGGCCTCAAAGAGGTCAAAATATCCACGTGCAGACTTTCCAAACAGAGTGTTTCCAAACTGCTGAATGAAAAGAAAAGTTAAACTCTGTGAGTTGAACGCACACATCCCAGAGCAGTTTCTGAGAAAGATTCTGTCGAGTTTTTATAGGAAAATATTTCCTTTTCTGCTTTTGGCCTCAAAGCGCTTGAAATCTCCACTTGCAAATTCCACAAAAAGAGACTTTCAAATCTGCTCTGTCTAAAGGAAGGTTCAACTCTGTCAGTTGAATACACACAACACAAAGAAGTTACTAAGAATTCTTCCCTCTAGCATTATATGAAGAAATCCCGTTTCCAACGAAGGCATCTAAGAGGTCCAAATATCCACTTGCAGACTTTACAAACACAGGGTTTCCAGAATGCTGTATGAAAAGAAAGGTGAAACTCTGTGAGTTAAACACACACATCACTACGCAGTGTCTGGGAACGAGTTTGTCTTGTTTTTATACGAAGATATTTCCTTTTCTACCATTGGCATCGAAGCGCTTGAAATCTCCACTTGCAAATTCCACAAAAAGAGTGTTTCAAATCTGCTCTGTCTAAAGGAAGGTTGAACTCTGTGAGTTGCATACACACAACACAAAGAAGTTACTGAGAAATCTTCTGTCTAGCATAATATGAAGAAATCCCGTTTCCAACGAAGGCCTCAAAGAGGTCCGAATATCCACTGGCAGGCTTCACAAACAGAGTGTTTCCTAACTGCTCTGTGAAAAGAAAGGTTAAACTCTGTGAGTTGAACGCACACATCACAAAGGAGTTTCTGAGAATCATTCTGTCTAGTTTTTATAGGAAGATATTTCCTTTTCTACCATTGACCTCAAAGCGGCTGAAATCTCCACTTGCAAATTCCAGAAAAACAGTGTTTCAAATCTGCTCTGTGTAAAGGATCGTTTAACTCTGTGAGTTGAATACACACAACACAAGGAAGTTACTGAGAATTCATCTGTCTAGCATAATATGAAGAAATCCCGTTTCCAACGAAGGCCTCAAAGAGGTCTGAATATCCACTTGCAGACTTTACAAACAGAGTGTTTCCTAACTGCTCTTTGAAAAGAAAGGTTAAACTCTGTGAGTTGAACGCACACATCACAAAACAGTTTCTGAGAATCATTCTGTCTAGTTTTTATACGAAGATATATCCTTTTCTACCGTTGACCTCAAAGCGGCTGAATTCTCCACTAACAAATTCCACCAAAAGAGTGTCTCAAATCTGCTCTGTGTAAAGAATCATTCAACTCTGTGAGTTGAATGCACACAACACAAGGGAAGTTACTGGGAATTCCTCTGTCTAACCTTACATGAAAAAACCCGTTTCCAACGAAGGCCTCTAAGAGGCCAAGATATCCACTTGCAGACTTTACAAACAGAGTGTTTCCAAACTGCTGAATGAAAAGAAAAGTTAAACTCTGTGAGTTGAACGCACACATCACACAGCAGTTTCTGAGAATGATTCTGTCGGGTTTTTATACGAAGATATTTCCTTTTCTGCCTTTGGCCTCAAAGCGCTTGAAGTCTCCACTTGCAAATTGCAGAAAAAGAGTGTTTCGAATCTGCTCTGTCTAAAGGAAGGTTCAACTCTGTCAGTTGAATACACACAACACAAGGAAGTTACTGAGATTTCTTCTGTCTAGCGTTACATGAAAAAAACCCGTTTCCAACGAAGGCCTCAAAGAGGTCAAAATATCCACGTGCAGACTTTCCAAACAGAGTGTTTCCAAACTGCTGAATGAAAAGAAAGTTAAACTCTGTGAGTTGAACACACACATCACAGAGCAGTTTCTGAGAATGATTCTGTCTAGTTTTTATAGGAAAATATTAACTTTTCTGCTTTTGGCCTCAAAGCGCTTGAAATCTCCACTTGCAAATTCCACAAAAAGAGACTTTCAAATCTGCTCTGTCTAAAGGAAGGTTCAACTCTGTCAGTTGAATACACACAACACAAAGAAGTTACTAAGAATTCTTCCCTCTAGCATTATATGAAGAAATCCCGTTTCCAACGAAGGCATCTAAGAGGTCCAAATATCCACTTGCAGACTTTACAAACAGAGGGTTTCCAGAATGCTGTATGAAAAGAAAGGTTAAACTCTGTGAGTTAAACACACACATCACTACGCAGTGTCTGGGAACGAGTTTGTCTTGTTTTTATACGAAGATATTTCCTTTTCTACCATTGGCATCGAAGCGCTTGAAATCTCCACTTGCAAATTCCACAAAAAGAGTGTTTCAAATCTGCTCTGTCTAAAGGAAGGTTGAACTCTGTGAGTTGCATATACACAACACAAAGAAGTTACTGAGAAATCTTTTGTCTAGCATAATATGAAGAAATCCCGTTTCCAACGAAGGCCTGAAAGAGGTCCGAATATCCACTGGCAGGCTTCACAAACAGAGTGTTTCCTAACTGCTCTGTGAAAAGAAAGGTTAAACTCTGTGAGTTGAACGCACACATCACAAAGGAGTTTCTGAGAATCATTCTGTCTAGTTTTTATACGAAGATATTTCCTTTTCTACCATTGACCTCAAAGCGGCTGAAATCTCCACTTGCAAATTCCAGAAAAACAGTGTTTCAAATCTGCTCTGTGTAAAGGATCGTTCAACTCTGTGAGTTGAATACACACAACACAAGGAAGTTACTGAGAATTCATCTGTCTAGCATAATATGAAGAAATCCCGTTTCCAACGAAGGCCTCAAAGAGTTCTGAATATCCACTTGCAGACTTTACAAACAGAGTGTTTCCTAACTGCTCTTTGAAAAGAAAGGTTAAACTCTGTGAGTTGAACGCACACATCACAAAACAGTTTCTGAGAATCATCTTTCTAGTTTTTATACGAAGATATTTCCTTTTCTACCGTTGACCTCAAAGCGGCTGAATTCTCCACTTACAAATTCCACCAAAAGAGTGTCTCAAATCTGCTCTGTGTAAAGAATCATTCAACTCTGTGAGTTGAATGCACACAACACAAGGAAAGTTACTGGGAATTCCTCTGTCTAACCTTACATGAAAAAACCCATTTCCAACGAAGGCCTCTAAGAGGCCAAGATATCCACTTGCAGACTTTACAAACAGAGTGTTTCCAAACTGCTGAATGAAAAGAAAAGTTAAACTCTGTGAGTTGAACGCACACATCACAGAGCAGTTTCTGAGAATGATTCTGTCGGGTTTTTATACGAAGATATTTCCTTTTCTGCCTTTGGCCTCAAAGCGCTTGAAGTCTCCACTTGCAAATTGCAGAAAAAGAGTGTTTCGAATCTGCTCTGTCTAAAGGAAGGTTCAACTCTGTCAGTTGAATACACACAACACAAGGAAGTTACTGAGATTTCTTCTGTCTAGCCTTACATGAAAAAAACCCGTTTCCAACGAAGGCCTCAAAGAGGTCAAAATATCCACGTGCAGACTTTCCAAACAGAGTGTTTCCAAACTGCTGAATGAAAAGAAAAGTTAAACTCTGTGAGTTGAACGCACACATCCCAGAGCAGTTTCTGAGAAAGATTCTGTCGAGTTTTTATAGGAAAATATTTCCTTTTCTGCTTTTGGCCTCAAAGCGCTTGAAATCTCCACTTGCAAATTCCACAAAAAGAGACTTTCAAATCTGCTCTGTCTAAAGGAAGGTTCAACTCTCTCAGTTGAATACACACAACACAAAGAAGTTACTAAGAATTCTTCCCTCTAGCATTATATGAAGAAATCCCGTTTCCAACGAAGGCATCTAAGAGGTCCAAATATCCACTTGCAGACTTTACAAACAGAGGGTTTCCAGAATGCTGTATGAAAAGAAAGGTTAAAGTCTGTGAGTTAAACACACACATCACTACGCAGTTTCTGGGAATGATTTTGTCTTGTTTTTATAAGAAGATATTTCCTTTTCGACCATTGGCGTCGAAGCGCTTGAAATCTCCACTTGCAAATTCCACAAAAAGAGTGTTTCAAATCTGCTCTGTCTAAAGGAAGGATGAACTCTGTGAGTTGCATACACACAACACAAAGTAGTTACTGAGAAATCTGTCTAGCGTAATATGAAGAAATCCCGTTTCCAAAGAAGGCCTCAAAGAGGTCCGAATATCCACTGGCAGACTTCACAAACAGAGTGTTTCCTAACTGCTCTGTGAAAAGAAAGGTTAAACTCTGTGAGTTGAACGCACACATCACAAAGGAGTTTCTGAGAATCATTCTGTCTAGTTTTTATATGAAGATGTTTCCTTTTCTACCATTGACCTCAAAGCGGCTGAAATCTCCACTTGCAAATTCCAGAAAAAGAGTGTTTCAAATCTGTTCTGTGTAAAGGATCGTTCAACTCTGTGAGTTGAATACACACAACACAAGGAAGTTACTGAGAATTCTTCTGTCTAGCATAATATGAAGAAATCCCGTTTCCAACGAAGGCCTCAAAGAGGTCTGAATATCCACTTGCAGACTTTACAAACAGAGTGTTTCCTAACTGCTCTTTGAAAAGAAAGGTTAAACTCTGTGAGTTGAACGCACACATCACAAAACAGTTTCTGAGAATCATTCTGTCTAGTTTTTATACGAAGATATTTCCTTTTCTACCGTTGACCTCAAAGCGGCTGAATTCTCCACTTACAAATTCCACCAAAAGAGAGTCTCAAATCTGCTCTTTGTAAAGAATCATTCAACTCTGTGAGTTGAATGCACACAACACAAGGAAGTTACTGGGAATTCCTCTGTCTATCCTTACATGAAAAAACCCGTTTCCAACGAAGGCCTCTAAGAGGCCAAGATATCCACTTGCAGACTTTACAAACAGAGTGTTTCCAAACTGCTGAATGAAAAGAAAAGTTAAACTCTGTGAGTTTAACGCACACATCACAGAGCAGTTTCTGAGAAAGATTCTGTCTAGTTTTTATAGGAAAATATTTCCTTTTCTGCTTTTGGCCTCAAAGCGCTTGAAATCTCCACTTGCAAATTCCACAAAAAGAGTGTTTCAAATCTGCTCTGTCTAAAGGAAGGTTGAACTCTGTGAGTTGCATACACACAACACAAAGAAGTTACTGAGAAATCTTCTGTCTAGCATAATATGAAGAAATCCCGTTTCCAACGAAGGCCTCAAAGAGGTCCGAATATCCACTGGCAGGCTTCACAAACAGAGTGTTTCCTAACTGCTCTGTGAAAAGAAAGGTTAAACTCTGTGAGTTGAACGCACACATCACAAAGGAGTTTCTGAGAATCATTCTGTCTAGTTTTTATACGAAGATATTTCCTTTTCTACCATTGACCTCAAAGTGGCTGAAATCTCCATTTGCAAATTCCAGAAAAACAGTGTTTCAAATCTGCTCTGTGTAAAGGATCGTTTAACTCTGTGAGTTGAATACACACAACACAAGGAAGTTACTGAGAATTCATCTGTCTAGCATAATATGAAGAAATCCCGTTTCCAACGAAGGCCTCAAAGAGGTCTGAATATCCACTTGCAGACTTTACAAACAGAGTGTTTCCTAACTGCTCTTTGAAAAGAAAGGTTAAACTCTGTGAGTTGAACGCACACATCACAAAACAGTTTCTGAGAATCATTCTGTCTAGTTTTTATACGAAGATATTTCCTTTTCTACCGTTGACCTCAAAGCGGCTGAATTCTCCACTTACAAATTCCACCAAAAGAGTGTCTCAAATCTGTTCTGTGTAAAGAATCATTCAACTCTGTGAGTTGAATGCACACAACACAAGGAAGTTACTGGGAATTCCTCTGTCTAACCTTACATGAAAAAACCCGTTTCCAACGAAGGCCTCTAAGAGGCCAAGATATCCACTTGCAGACTTTACAAACAGAGTGTTTCCAAACTGCTGAATGAAAAGAAAAGTTAAACTCTGTGAGTTGAACGCACACATCACAGAGCAGTTTCTGAGAATGATTCTGTCGGGTTTTTATACGAAGATATTTCCTTTTCTGCCTTTGGCCTCAAAGCGCTTGAAGTCTCCACTTGCAAATTGCAGAAAAAGAGTGTTTCGAATCTGCTCTGTCTAAAGGAAGGTTCAACTCTGTCAGTTGAATACACACAACACAAGGAAGTTACTGAGATTTCTTCTGTCTAGCCTTACATGAAAAAAACCCGTTTCCAACGAAGGCCTCAAAGAGGTCAAAATATCCACGTGCAGACTTTCCAAACAGAGTGTTTCCAAACTGCTGAATGAAAAGAAAAGTTAAACTCTGTGAGTTGAACGCACACATCCCAGAGCAGTTTCTGAGAAAGATTCTGTCGAGTTTTTATAGGAAAATATTTCCTTTTCTGCTTTCGGCCTCAAAGCGCTTGAAATCTCCACTTGCAAATTCCACAAAAAGAGACTTTCAAATCTGCTCTGTCTAAAGGAAGGTTCAACTCTGTCAGTTGAATACACACAACACAAAGAAGTTACTAAGAATTCTTCCCTCTAGCATTATATGAAGAAATCCCGTTTCCAACGAAGGCATCTAAGAGGTCCAAATATCCACTTGCAGACTTTACAAACACACGGTTTCCAGAATGCTGTATGAAAAGAAAGGTGAAACTCTGTGAGTTAAACACACACATCACTACGCAGTGTCTGGGAACGAGTTTGTCTTGTTTTTATACGAAGATATTTCCTTTTCTACCATTGGCATCGAAGCGCTTGAAATCTCCACTTGCAAATTCCACAAAAAGAGTGTTTCAAATCTGCTCTGTCTAAAGGAAGGTTGAACTCTGTGAGTTGCATACACACAACACAAAGAAGGTTACTGAGAAATCTTCTGTCTAGCATAATATGAAGAAATCCCGTTTCCAACGAAGGCCTCAAAGAGGTCCGAATATCCACTGGCAGGCTTCACAAACAGAGTGTTTCCTAACTGCTCTGTGAAAAGAAAGGTTAAACTCTGTGAGTTGAACGCACACATCACAAAGGAGTTTCTGAGAATCATTCTGTCTAGTTTTTATACGAAGATATTTCCTTTTCTACCATTGACCTCAAAGCGGCTGAATTCTCCACATACAAATTCCACCAAAAGACTGTCTCAAATCTGCTCTGTGTAAAGAATCATTCAACTCTGTGAGTTGAATGCACACAACACAAGGAAGTTACTGGGAATTCCTCTGTCTATCCTTACATGAAAAACCCGTTTCCAACGAAGGCCTCTAAGAGGCCAAGATATCCACTTGCAGACTTTACAAACAGAGTGTTTCCAAACTGCTGAATGAAAAGAAAAGTTAAACTCTGTGAGTTGAACGCACACATCACAGAGCAGTTTCTGAGAATGATCTGTCTAGTTTTTATACGAAGATATTTCCTTTTCTACCGTTGACCTCAAAGCGGCTGAATTCTCCACTTACAAATTCCACCAAAAGAGTGTCTCAAATCTGCTCTGTGTAAAGAATCATTCAACTCTGTGAGTTGAATGCACACAACACAAGGAAGTTACTGGGAATTCCTCTGTCTATCCTTACATGAAAAAACCCGTTTCCAACGAAGGCCTCTAAGAGGCCAAGATATCCACTTGCAGACTTTACAAACAGAGTGTTTCCAAACTGCTGAATGAAAAGAAAAGTTAAACTCTGTGAGTTGAACGCACACATCACAGAGCAGTTTCTGAGAAAGATTCTGTCTAGTTTTTATAGGAAAATATTTCCTTTTCTGCTTTTGGCCTCAAAGCGCTTGAAATCTCCACTTGCAAATTCCACAAAAAGAGTGTTTCAAATCTGCTCTGTCTAAAGGAAGGTTGAACTCTGTGAGTTGCATACACACAACACAAAGAAGTTACTGAGAAATCTTCTGTCTAGCATAATATGAAGAAATCCCGTTTCCAACGAAGGCCTCAAAGAGGTCCGAATATCCACTGGCAGGCTTCACAAACAGAGTGTTTCCTAACTGCTCTGTGAAAAGAAAGGTTAAACTCTGTGAGTTGAACGCACACATCACAAAGGAGTTTCTGAGAATCATTCTGTCTAGTTTTTATACGAAGATATTTCCTTTTCTACCATTGACCTCAAAGCGGCTGACATCTCCACTTGCAAATTCCAGAAAAACAGTGTTTCAAATCTGCTCTGTGTAAAGGATCGTTCAACTCTGTGAGTTGAATACACACAACACAAGGAAGTTACTGAGAATTCATCTGTCTAGCATAATATGAAGAAATCCCGTTTCCAACGAAGGCCTCAAAGAGGTCTGAATATCCACTTGCAGACTTTACAAACAGAGTGTTTCCTAACTGCTCTTTGAAAAGAAAGGTTAAACTCTGTGAGTTGAACGCACACATCACAAAACAGTTTCTGAGAATCATTTCTGTCTAGTTTTTATACGAAGATATTTCCTTTTCTACCGTTGACCTCAAAGCGGCTGAATTCTCCACTTACAAATTCCACCAAAAGAGTGTCTCAAATCTGCTCTGTGTAAAGAATCATTCAACTCTGTGAGTTGAATGCACACAACACAAGGAAGTTACTGGGAATTCCTCTGTCTAACCTTACATGAAAAAACCCGTTTCCAACGAAGGCCTCTAAGAGGCCAAGATATCCACTTGCAGACTTTACAAACAGAGTGTTTCCAAACTGCTGAATGAAAAGAAAAGTTAAACTCTGTGAGTTGAACGCACACATCACAGAGCAGTTTCTGAGAATGATTCTGTCGGGTTTTTATACGAAGATATTTCCTTTTCTGCCTTTGGCCTCAAAGCGCTTGAAGTCTCCACTTGCAAATTGCAGAAAAAGAGTGTTTCGAATCTGCTCTGTCTAAAGGAAGGTTCAACTCTGTCAGTTGAATACACACAACACAAGGAAGTTACTGAGATTTCTTCTGTCTAGCCTTACAAGAAAAAAACCCGTTTCCAACGAAGGCCTCAAAGAGGTCAAAATATCCACGTGCAGACTTTCCAAACAGAGTGTTTCCAAACTGCTGAATGGAAACAAAAGTTAAACTCTGTGAGTTGAACGCACACATCCCAGAGCAGTTTCTGAGAAAGATTCTGTCGAGTTTTTATAGGAAAATATTTCCTTTTCTGCTTTTGGCCTCAAAGCGCTTGAAATCTCCACTTGCAAATTCCACAAAAAGAGACTTTCAAATCTGCTCTGTCTAAAGGAAGGTTCAACTCTGTCAGTTGAATACACACAACACAAAGAAGTTACTAAGAATTCTTCCCTCTAGCATTATATGAAGAAATCCCGTTTCCAACGAAGGCATCTAAGAGGTCCAAATATCCACTTGCAGACTTTACAAACACAGGGTTTCCAGAATGCTGTATGAAAAGAAAGGTTAAACTCTGTGAGTTAAACACACACATCACTACGCAGTGTCTGGGAACGAGTTTGTCTTGTTTTTATACGAAGATATTTCCTTTTCTACCATTGGCATCGAAGCGCTTGAAATCTCCACTTGCAAATTCCACAAAAAGAGTGTTTCAAATCTGCTCTGTCTAAAGGAAGGTTGAACTCTGTGAGTTGCATACACACAACACAAAGAAGTTACTGAGAAATCTTCTGTCTAGCATAATATGAAGAAATCCCGTTTCCAACGAAGGCCTCAAAGAGGTCCGAATATCCACTGGCAGGCTTCACAAACAGAGTGTTTCCTAACTGCTCTGTGAAAAGAAAGGTTAAACTCTGTGAGTTGAACGCACACATCACAAAGGAGTTTCTGAGAATCATTCTGTGTAGTTTTTATACGAAGATATTTCCTTTTCTACCATTGACCTCAAATCAGCTGAAATCTCCACTTGCAAATTCCAGAAAAACAGTGTTTCAAATCTGCTCTGTGTAAAGGATCGTTCAACTCTGTGAGTTGAATACACACAACACAAGGAAGTTACTGAGAATTCATCTGTCTAGCATAATATGAAGAAATCCCGTTTCCAACGAAGGCCTCAAAGAGGTCTGAATATCCACTTGCAGACTTTACAAACAGAGTGTTTCCTAACTGCTCTTTGAAAAGAAAGGTTAAACTCTGTGAGTTGAACGCACACATCACAAAACAGTTTCTGAGAATCATTCTGTCTAGTTTTTATACGAAGATATTTCCTTTTCTACCGTTGACCTCAAAGCGGCTGAATTCTCCACTTACAAATTCCACCAAAAGAGTGTCTCAAATCTGCTCTGTGTAAAGAATCATTCAACTCTGTGAGTTGAATGCACACAACACAAGGAAGTTACTGGGAATTCCTCTGTCTATCCTTACATGAAAAAACCCGTTTCCAACGAAGGCCTCTAAGAGGCCAAGATATCCACTTGCAGACTTTACAAACAGAGTGTTTCCAAACTGCTGAATGAAAAGAAAAGTTAAACTCTGTGAGTTGAACGCACACATCACAGAGCAGTTTCTGAGAAAGATTCTGTCGGGTTTTTATACGAAGATATTTCCTTTTCTGCCTTTGGCCTCAAAGCGCTTGAAGTCTCCACTTGCAAATTGCAGAAAAAGAGTGTTTCGAATCTGCTCTGTCTAAAGGAAGGTTCAACTCTGTCAGTTGAATACACACAACACAAGGAAGTTACTGAGATTTCTTCTGTCTAGCCTTACATGAAAAAAACCCGTTTCCAACGAAGGCCTCAAAGAGGTCAAAATATCCACGTGCAGACTTTCCAAACAGAGTGTTTCCAAACTGCTGAATGAAAAGAAAAGTTAAACTCTGTGAGTTGAACGCACACATCCCAGAGCAGTTTCTGAGAAAGATTCTGTCGAGTTTTTATAGGAAAATATTTCCTTTTCTGCTTTTGGCCTCAAAGCGCTTGAAATCTCCACTTGCAAATTCCACAAAAAGAGACTTTCAAATCTGCTCTGTCTAAAGGAAGGTTCAACTCTGTCAGTTGAATACACACAACACAAAGAAGTTACTAAGAATTCTTCCCTCTAGCATTATATGAAGAAATCCCGTTTCCAACGAAGGCATCTAAGAGGTCCAAATATCCACTTGCAGACTTTACAAACAGAGGGTTTCCAGAATGCTGTATGAAAAGAAAGGTGAAACTCTGTGAGTTAAACACACACATCACTACGCAGTGTCTGGGAACGAGTTTGTCTTGTTTTTATACGAAGATATTTCCTTTTCTACCATTGGCATCGAAGCGCTTGAAATCTCCACTTGCAAATTCCACAAAAAGAGTGTTTCAAATCTGCTCTGTCTAAAGGAAGGTTGAACTCTGTGAGTTGCATACACACAACCCAAAGAAGTTACTGAGAAATCTTCTGTCTAGCATAATATGAAGAAATCCCGTTTCCAACGAAGGCCTCAAAGAGGTCCGAATATCCACTGGCAGGCTTCACAGAGTGTTTCCTAACTGCTCTGTGAAAAGAAAGGTTAAACTCTGTGAGTTGAACGCACACATCACAAAGGAGTTTCTGAGAATCATTCTGTCTAGTTTTTATACGAAGATATTTCCTTTTCTACCATTGACCTCAAAGCGGCTGACATCTCCACTTGCAAATTCCAGAAAAACAGTGTTTCAAATCTGCTCTGTGTAAAGGATCGTTCAACTCTGTGAGTTGAATACACACAACACAAGGAAGTTACTGAGAATTCATCTGTCTAGCATAATATGAAGAAATCCCGTTTCCAACGAAGGCCTCAAAGAGGTCTGAATATCCACTTGCAGACTTTACAAACAGAGTGTTTCCTAACTGCTCTTTGAAAAGAAAGGTTAAACTCTGTGAGTTGAACGCACACATCACAAAACAGTTTCTGAGAATCATTCTGTCTAGTTTTTATACGAAGATATTTCCTTTTCTACCGTTGACCTCAAAGCGGCTGAATTCTCCACTTACAAATTCCACCAAAAGAGTGTCTCAAATCTGCTCTGTGTAAAGAATCATTCAACTCTGTGAGTTGAATGCACACAACACAAGGAAGTTACTGGGAATTCCTCTGTCTACCTTACATGAAAAAACCCGTTTCCAACGAAGGCCTCTAAGAGGCCAAGATATCCACTTGCAGACTTTACAAACAGAGTGTTTCCAAACTGCTGAATGAAAAGAAAAGTTAAACTCTGTGAGTTGAACGCACACATCACAGAGCAGTTTCTGAGAATGATTCTGTCGGGTTTTTATACGAAGATATTTCCTTTTCTGCCTTTGGCCTCAAAGCGCTTGAAGTCTCCACTTGCAAATTGCAGAAAAAGAGTGTTTCGAATCTGCTCTGTCTAAAGGAAGGTTCAACTCTGTCAGTTGAATACACACAACACAAGGAAGTTACTGAGATTTCTTCTGTCTAGCCTTACATGAAAAAAACCCGTTTCCAACGAAGGCCTCAAAGAGGTCAAAATATCCACGTGCAGACTTTCCAAACAGAGTGTTTCCAAACTGCTGAATGAAAAGAAAAGTTAAACTCTGTGAGTTGAACGCACACATCCCAGAGCAGTTTCTGAGAAAGATTCTGTCGAGTTTTTATAGGAAAATATTTCCTTTTCTGCTTTTGGCCTCAAAGCGCTTGAAATCTCCACTTGCAAATTCCACAAAAAGAGACTTTCAAATCTGCTCTGTCTAAAGGAAGGTTCAACTCTGTCAGTTGAATACACACAACACAAAGAAGTTACTAAGAATTCTTCCCTCTAGCATTATATGAAGAAATCCCGTTTCCAACGAAGGCATCTAAGAGGTCCAAATATCCACTTGCAGACTTTACAAACAGAGGGTTTCCAGAATGCTGTATGAAAAGAAAGGTTAAACTCTGTGAGTTAAACACACACATCACTACGCAGTGTCTGGGAACGAGTTTGTCTTGTTTTTCTACGAAGATATTTCCTTTTCTACCATTGGCATCGAAGCGCTTGAAATCTCCACTTGCAAATTCCACAAAAAGAGTGTTTCAAATCTGCTCTGTCTAAAGGAAGGTTAAACTCTGTGAGTTGCATACACACAACACAAAGAAGTTACTGAGAAATCTTCTGTCTAGCATAATATGAAGAAATCCCGTTTCCAACGAAGGCCTCAAAGAGGTCCGAATATCCACTGGCAGGCTTCACAAACAGAGTGTTTCCTAACTGCTCTGTGAAAAGAAAGGTTAAACTCTGTGAGTTGAACGCACACATCACAAAGGAGTTTCTGAGAATCATTCTGTCTAGTTTTTATACGAAGATATTTCCTTTTCTACCATTGACCTCAAAGCGGCTGAAATCTCCACTTGCAAATTCCAGAAAAACAGTGTTTCAAATCTGCTCTGTGTAAAGGATCGTTCAACTCTGTGAGTTGAATACACACAACACAAGGAAGTTACTGAGAATTCATCTGTCTAGCATAATATGAAGAAATCCCGTTTCCAACGAAGGCCTCAAAGAGGTCTGAATATCCACTTGCAGACTTTACAAACAGTGTTTCCTAACTGCTCTTTGAAAAGAAAGGTTAAACTCTGTGAGTTGAACGCACACATCACAAAACAGTTTCTGAGAATCATTCTGTCTAGTTTTTATACGAAGATATTTCCTTTTCTACCGTTGACCTCAAAGCAGCTGAATTCTCCACTTACAAATTCCACCAAAAGAGTGTCTCAAATCTGCTCTGTGTAAAGAATCATTCAACTCTGTGAGTTGAGTGCACACAACACAAGGAAGTTACTGGGAATTCCTCTGTCTAACCTTAC
This sequence comes from Homo sapiens, assembly GCF_000001405.40. NCBI lineage: Eukaryota > Metazoa > Chordata > Mammalia > Primates > Hominidae > Homo > Homo sapiens. The sequence goes on along the minus strand of NC_000016.10, from coordinate 37,783,635 downwards.
ATGAAAAAACCCGTTTCCAACGAAGGCCTCTAAGAGGCCAAGATATCCACTTGCAGACTTTACAAACAGAGTGTTTCCAAACTGCTGAATGAAAAGAAAAGTTAAACTCTGTGAGTTGAACGCACACATCACAGAGCAGTTTCTGAGAATGATTCTGTCGGGTTTTTATACGAAGATATTTCCTTTTCTGCCTTTGGCCTCAAAGCGCTTGAAGTCTCCACTTGCAAATTGCAGAAAAAGAGTGTTTCGAATCTGCTCTGTCTAAAAGAAGGTTCAACTCTGTCAGTTGAATACACACAACACAAGGAAGTTACTGAGATTTCTTCTGTCTAGCCTTACATGAAAAAAACCCGTTTCCAACGAAGGCCTCAAAGAGGTCAAAATATCCACGTGCAGACTTTCCAAACAGAGTGTTTCCAAACTGCTGAATGAAAAGAAAAGTTAAACTCTGTGAGTTGAACGCACACATCCCAGAGCAGTTTCTGAGAAAGATTCTGTCTAGTTTTTATAGGAAAATATTTCCTTTTCTGCTTTTGGCCTCAAAGCGCTTGAAATCTCCACTTGCAAATTCCACAAAAAGAGACTTTGAAATGTGCTCTGTCTAAAGGAAGGTTCAACTCTGTCAGTTGAATACACACAACACAAAGAAGTTACTAAGAATTCTTCCCTCTACTATTATATGACGAAATCCCGTTTCCAACGAAGGCATCTAAGAGGTCCAAATATCCACTTGCAGACTTTACAAACAGAGGGTTTCCAGAATTCTGTATGAAAAGAAACGTTAAAGTCTGTGAGTTAAACACACACATCACTACGCAGTTTCAGGGAACGAGTTTGTCTTGTTTTTATACGAAGATATTTCCTTTTCTACCATTGGCATCGAAGCGCTAGAAATCTCCACTTGCAAATTCCACAAAAAGAGTGTTTCAAATCTGCTCTCTCTAAAGGAAGGTTGAACTCTGTGAGTTGCATACACACAACACAAAGAAGTTACTGAGAAATCTTCTGTCTAGCATAATATGAAGAAATCCCGTTTCCAACGAAGGCCTCAAAGAGGTCCGAATATCCACTGGCAGACTTCACAAACAGAGTGTTTCCTAACTGCTCTGTGAAAAGAAAGGTTAAACTCTGTGAGTTGAACGCACACATCACAAAGGAGTTTCTGAGAATCATTCTGTCTAGTTTTTATATGAAGATATTTCCTTTTCTACCATTGACCTCAAAGCGGCTGAAATCTCCACTTGCAAATTCCAGAAAAAGAGTGTTTCAAATCTGCTCCGTGTAAAGGATCGTTCAACTCTGTGAGTTGAATACACACAACACAAGGAAGTTACTGAGAATTCTTCTGTCTAGCATAATATGAAGAAATGCCGTTTCCAACGAACGCCTCAAAGAGGTCTGAATATCCACTTGCAGACTTTACAAACAGAGTGTTTCCTAACTGCTCTTTGAAAAGAAAGGTTAAACTCTGTGAGTTGAACGCACACATCACAAAACAGTTTCTGAGAATCATTCTGTCTAGTTTTTATACGAAGATATTTCCTTTTGTACCATTGACCTCAAAGCGGCTGAATTCTCCACTTACAAATTGCACCAAAAGAGTGTCTCAAATCTGCTCTGTGTAAAGAATCATTCAACTCTGTGAGTTGAATGCACACAACACAAGGAAGTTACTGGGAATTCCTCTGTCTATCCTTACATGAAAAAACCCGTTTCCAACGAAGGCCTCTAAGAGGCCAAGATATCCACTTGCAGACTTTACAAACAGAGTGTTTCCAAACTGCTGAATGAAAAGAAAAGTTAAACTCTGTGAGTTGAACGCACACATCACAGAGCAGTTTCTGAGAATGATTCTGTCGGGTTTTTATACGAAGATATTTCCTTTTCTGCCTTTGGCCTCAAAGCGCTTGAAGTCTCCACTTGCAAATTGCAGAAAAAGAGTGTTTCGAATCTGCTCTGTCTAAAGGAAGGTTCAACTCTGTCAGTTGAATACACACAACACAAGGAAGTTACTGAGATTTCTTCTGTCTAGCCTTACATGAAAAAAACCCGTTTCCAACGAAGGCCTCAAAGAGGTCAAAATATCCACGTGCAGACTTTCCAAACAGAGTGTTTCCAAACTGCTGAATGAAAAGAAAAGTTAAACTCTGTGAGTTGAACGCACACATCCCAGAGCAGTTTCTGAGAAAGATTCTGTCGAGTTTTTATAGGAAAATATTTCCTTTTCTGCTTTTGGCCTCAAAGCGCTTGAAATCTCCACTTGCAAATTCCACAAAAAGAGACTTTCAAATCTGCTCTGTCTAAAGGAAGGTTCAACTCTGTCAGTTGAATACACACAACACAAAGGAAGTTACTAAGAATTCTTCCCTCTAGCATTATATGAAGAAATCCCGTTTCCAACGAAGGCATCTAAGAGGTCCAAATATCCACTTGCAGACTTTACAAACACAGGGTTTCCAGAATGCTGTATGAAAAGAAAGGTGAAACTCTGTGAGTTAAACACACACATCACTACGCAGTGTCTGGGAACGAGTTTGTCTTGTTTTTATACGAAGATATTTCCTTTTCTACCATTGGCATCGAAGCGCTTGAAATCTCCACTTGCAAATTCCACAAAAAGAGTGTTTCAAATCTGCTCTGTCTAAAGGAAGGTTGAACTCTGTGAGTTGCATACACACAACACAAAGTAGTTACTGAGAAATCTTCTGTCTAGCATAATATGAAGAAATCCCGTTTCCAACGAAGGCCTCAAAGAGGTCCGAATATCCACTGGCAGGCTTCACAAACAGAGTGTTTCCTAACTGCTCTGTGAAAAGAAAGGTTAAACTCTGTGAGTTGAACGCACACATCACAAAGGAGTTTCTGAGAATCATTCTGTCTAGTTTTTATACGAAGATATTTCCTTTTCTACCATTGACCTCAAAGCGGCTGAAATCTCCACTTGCAAATTCCAGAAAAACAGTGTTTCAAATCTGCTCTGTGTAAAGGATCGTTCAACTCTGTGAGTTGAATACACACAACACAAGGAAGTTACTGAGAATTCATCTGTCTAGCATAATATGAAGAAATCCCGTTTCCAACGAAGGCCTCAAAGAGGTCTGAATATCCACTTGCAGACTTTACAAACAGAGTGTTTCCTAACTGCTCTTTGAAAAGAAAGGTTAAACTCTGTGAGTTGAACGCACACATCACAAAACAGTTTCTGAGAATCATTCTGTCTAGTTTTTATACGAAGATATTTCCTTTTCTACCGTTGACCTCAAAGCGGCTGAATTCTCCACTTACAAATTCCACCAAAAGAGTGTCTCAAATCTGCTCTGTGTAAAGAATCATTCAACTCTGTGAGTTGAATGCACACAACACAAGGAAGTTACTGGGAATTCCTCTGTCTAACCTTACATGAAAAAACCCGTTTCCAACGAAGGCCTCTAAGAGGCCAAGATATCCACTTGCAGACTTTACAAACAGAGTGTTTCCAAACTGCTGAATGAAAAGAAAAGTTAAACTCTGTGAGTTGAACGCACACATCACAGAGCAGTTTCTGAGAATGATTCTGTCGGGTTTTTATACGAAGATATTTCCTTTTCTGCCTTTGGCCTCAAAGCGCTTGAAGTCTCCACTTGCAAATTGCAGAAAAAGAGTGTTTCGAATCTGCTCTGTCTAAAAGAAGGTTCAACTCTGTCAGTTGAATACACACAACACAAGGAAAGTTACTGAGATTTCTTCTGTCTAGCCTTACATGAAAAAAACCCGTTTCCAACGAAGGCCTCAAAGAGGTCAAAATATCCACGTGCAGACTTTCCAAACAGAGTGTTTCCAAACTGCTGAATGAAAAGAAAAGTTAAACTCTGTGAGTTGAACGCACACATCCCAGAGCAGTTTCTGAGAAAGATTCTGTCGAGTTTTTATAGGAAAATATTTCCTTTTCTGCTTTTGGCCTCAAAGCGCTTGAAATCTCCACTTGCAAATTCCACAAAAAGAGACTTTCAAATCTGCTCTGTCTAAAGGAAGGTTCAACTCTGTCAGTTGAATACACACAACACAAAGAAGTTACTAAGAATTCTTCCCTCTAGCATTATATGAAGAAATCCCGTTTCCAACGAAGGCATCTAAGAGGTCCAAATATCCACTTGCAGACTTTACAAACAGAGGGTTTCCAGAATGCTGTATGTAAAGAAAGGTGAAACTCTGTGAGTTAAACACACACATCACTACGCAGTGTCTGGGAACGAGTTTGTCTTGTTTTTATACGAAGATATTTCCTTTTCTACCATTGGCATCGAAGCGCTTGAAATCTCCACTTGCAAATTCCACAAAAAGAGTGTTTCAAATCTGCTCTGTCTAAAGGAAGGTTGAACTCTGTGAGTTGCATACACACAACACAAAGAAGTTACTGAGAAATCTTCTGTCTAGCATAATATGAAGAAATCCCGTTTCCAACGAAGGCCTCAAAGAGGTCTGAATATCCACTGGCAGGCTTCACAAACAGAGTGTTTCCTAACTGCTCTGTGAAAAGAAAGGTTAAACTCTGTGAGTTGAACGCACACATCACAAAGGAGTTTCTGAGAATCATTCTGTCTAGTTTTTATACGAAGATATTTCTTTTTCTACCATTGACCTCAAAGCGGCTGAAATCTCCACTTGCAAATTCCAGAAAAACAGTGTTTCAAATCTGCTCTGTGTAAAGGATCGTTCAACTCTGTGAGTTGAATACACACAACACAAGGAAGTTACTGAGAATTCATCTGTCTAGTATAATATGAAGAAATCCCGTTTCCAACGAAGGCCTCAAAGAGGTCTGAATATCCACTTGCAGACTTTACAAACAGAGTGTTTCCTAACTGCTCTTTGAAAAGAAAGGTTAAACTCTGTGAGTTGAACGCACACATCACAAAACAGTTTCTGAGAATCATTCTGTCTAGTTTTTATACGAAGATATTTCCTTTTCTACCGTTGACCTCAAAGCAGCTGAATTCTCCACTTACAAATTCCACCAAAAGAGTGTCTCAAATCTGCTCTGTGTAAAGAATCATTCAACTCTGTGAGTTGAATGCACACAACACAAGGAAGTTACTGGGAATTCCTCTGTCTAACCTTACATGAAAAAACCCGTTTCCAACGAAGGCCTCTAAGAGGCCAAGATATCCACTTGCAGACTTTACAAACAGAGTGTTTCCAAACTGCTGAATGAAAAGAAAAGTTAAACTCTGTGAGTTGAACGCACACATCACAGAGCAGTTTCTGAGAATGATTCTGTCGGGTTTTTATACGAAGATATTTCCTTTTCTGCCTTTGGCCTCAAAGCGCTTGAAGTCTCCACTTGCAAATTGCAGAAAAAGAGTGTTTCGAATCTGCTCTGTCTAAAGGAAGGTTCAACTCTGTCAGTTGAATACACACAACACAAGGAAGTTACTGAGATTTCTTCTGTCTAGCCTTACATGAAAAAAACCCGTTTCCAACGAAGGCCTCAAAGAGGTCAAAATATCCACGTGCAGACTTTCCAAACAGAGTGTTTCCAAACTGCTGAATGAAAAGAAAAGTTAAACTCTGTGAGTTGAACGCACACATCCCAGAGCAGTTTCTGAGAAAGATTCTGTCGAGTTTTTATAGGAAAATATTTCCTTTTCTGCTTTCGGCCTCAAAGCGCTTGAAATCTCCACTTGCAAATTCCACAAAAAGAGACTTTCAAATCTGCTCTGTCTAAAGGAAGGTTCAACTCTGTCAGTTGAATACACACAACACAAAGAAGTTACTAAGAATTCTTCCCTCTAGCATTATATGAAGAAATCCCGTTCCCAACGAAGGCATCTAAGAGGTCCAAATATCCACTTGCAGACTTTACAAACAGAGGGTTTCCAGAATGCTGTATGAAAAGAAAGGTTAAACTCTGTGAGTTAAACACACACATCACTACGCAGTGTCTGGGAACGAGTTTGTCTTGTTTTTATACGAAGATATTTCCTTTTCTACCATTGGCATCGAAGCGCTTGAAATCTCCACTTGCAAATTCCACAAAAAGAGTGTTTCAAATCTGCTCTGTCTAAAGGAAGGTTGAACTCTGTGAGTTGCATACACACAACACAAAGAAGTTACTGAGAAATCTTCTGTCTAGCATAATATGAAGAAATCCCGTTTCCAACGAAGGCCTCAAAGAGGTCCGAATATCCACTGGCAGGCTTCACAAACAGAGTGTTTCCTAACTGCTCTGTGAAAAGAAAGGTTAAACTCTGTGAGTTGAACGCACACATCACAAAGGAGTTTCTGAGAATCATTCTGTCTAGTTTTTATACGAAGATATTTCCTTTTCTACCATTGACCTCAAAGCGGCTGAAATCTCCACTTGCAAATTCCAGAAAAACAGTGTTTCAAATCTGCTCTGTGTAAAGGATCGTTCAACTCTGTGAGTTGAATACACACAACACAAGGAAGTTACTGAGAATTCATCTGTCTAGCATAATATGAAGAAATCCCGTTTCCAACGAAGGCCTCAAAGAGGTCTGAATATCCTCTTGCAGACTTTACAAACAGAGTGTTTCCTAACTGCTCTTTGAAAAGAAAGGTTAAACTCTGTGAGTTGAACGCACACATCACAAAACAGTTTCTGAGAATCATTCTGTCTAGTTTTTATACGAAGATATTTCCTTTTCTACCGTTGACCTCAAAGCGGCTGAATTCTCCACTTACAAATTCAACCAAAAGAGTGTCTCAAAACTGCTCTGTGTAAAGAATCATTCAACTCTGTGAGTTGAATGCACACAACACAAGGAAGTTACTGGGAATTCCTGTGTCTATCCTTACATGAAAAAACCCGTTTCCAACGAAGGCCTCTAAGAGGCCAAGATATCCACTTGCAGACTTTACAAACAGAGTGTTTCCAAACTGCTGAATGAAAAGAAAAGTTAAACTCTGTGAGTTGAACGCACACATCACAGAGCAGTTTCTGAGAATGATTCTGTCGGGTTTTTATACGAAGATATTTCCTTTTCTGCCTTTGGCCTCAAAGCGCTTGAAGTCTCCACTTGCAAATTGCAGAAAAAGAGTGTTTCGAATCTGCTCTGTCTAAAGGAAGGTTCAACTCTGTCAGTTGAATACACACAACACAAGGAAGTTACTGAGATTTCTTCTGTCTAGCCTTACATGAAAAAAACCCGTTTCCAACGAAGGCCTCAAAGAGGTCAAAATATCCACGTGCAGACTTTCCAAACAGAGTGTTTCCAAACTGCTGAATGAAAAGAAAAGTTAAACTCTGTGAGTTGAACGCACACATCCCAGAGCAGTTTCTGAGAAAGATTCTGTCTAGTTTTTATAGGAAAATATTTCCTTTTCTGCTTTTGGCCTCAAAGCGCTTGAAATCTCCACTTGCAAATTCCACAAAAAGAGACTTTCAAATCTGCTCTGTCTAAAGGAAGGTTCAACTCTGTCAGTTGAATACACACAACACAAAGAAGTTACTAAGAATTCTTCCCTCTAGCATTATATGAAGAAATCCCGTTTCCAACGAAGGCATCTAAGAGGTCCAAATATCCACTTGCAGACTTTACAAACACAGGGTTTCCAGAATGCTGTATGAAAAGAAAGGTTAAACTCTGTGAGTTAAACACACACATCACTACGCAGTGTCTGGGAACGAGTTTGTCTTGTTTTTATACGAAGATATTTCCTTTTCTACCATTGGCATCGAAGCGCTTGAAATCTCCACTTGCAAATTCCACAAAAAGAGTGTTTCAAATCTGCTCTGTCTAAAGGAAGGTTCAACTCTGTGAGTTGCATACACACAACACAAAGAAGTTACTGAGAAATCTTCTGTCTAGCATAATATGAAGAAATCCCGTTTCCAACGAAGGCCTCAAAGAGGTCCGAATATCCACTGGCAGGCTTCACAAACAGAGTGTTTCCTAACTGCTCTGTGAAAAGAAAGGTTAAACTCTGTGAGTTGAACGCACACATCACAAAGGAGTTTCTGAGAATCATTCTGTCTAGTTTTTATACAGAAGATATTTCCTTTTCTACCATTGACCTCAAAGCGGCTGAAATCTCCACTTGCAAATTCCAGAAAAACAGTGTTTCAAATCTGCTCTGTGTAAAGGATCGTTCAACTCTGTGAGTTGAATACACACAACACAAGGAAGTTACTGAGAATTCATCTGTCTAGCATAATATGAAGAAATCCCGTTTCCAACGAAGGCCTCAAAGAGGTCTGAATATCCTCTTGCAGACTTTACAAACAGAGTGTTTCCTAACTGCTCTTTGAAAAGAAAGGTTAAACTCTGTGAGTTGAACGCACACATCACAAAACAGTTTCTGAGAATCATTCTGTCTAGTTTTTATACGAAGATATTTCCTTTTCTACCGTTGACCTCAAAGCGGCTGAATTCTCCACTTACAAATTCCACCAAAAGAGTGTCTCAAATCTGCTCTGTGTAAAGAATCATTCAACTCTGTGAGTTGAATGCACACAACACAAGGAAGTTACTGGGAATTCCTCTGTCTAACCTTACATGAAAAAACCCGTTTCCAACGAAGGCCTCTAAGAGGCCAAGATATCCACTTGCAGACTTTACAAACAGAGTGTTTCCAAACTGCTGAATGAAAAGAAAAGTTAAACTCTGTGAGTTGAACGCACACATCACAGAGCAGTTTCTGAGAATGATTCTGTCGGGTTTTTATACGAAGATATTTCCTTTTCTGCCTTTGGCCTCAAAGCGCTTGAAGTCTCCACTTGCAAATTGCAGAAAAAGAGTGTTTCGAATCTGCTCTGTCTAAAGGAAGGTTCAACTCTGTCAGTTGAATACACACAACACAAGGAAGTTACTGAGATTTCTTCTGTCTAGCCTTACATGAAAAAAACCGTTTCCAACGAAGGCCACAAAGAGGTCAAAATATCCACGTGCAGACTTTCCAAACAGAGTGTTTCCAAACTGCTGAATGAAAAGAAAGTTAAACTCTGTGAGTTGAACACACACATCACAGAGCAGTTTCTGAGAATGATTCTGTCTAGTTTTTATAGGAAAATATTTCCTTTTCTGCTTTTGGCCTCAAAGCGCTTGAAATCTCCACTTGCAAATTCCACAAAAAGAGACTTTCAAATCTGCTCTGTCTAAAGGAAGGTTCAACTCTGTCAGTTGAATACACACAACACAAAGAAGTTACTAAGAATTCTTCCCTCTAGCATTATATGAAGAAATCCCGTTTCCAACGAAGGCATCTAAGAGGTCCAAATATCCACTTGCAGACTTTACAAACAGAGGGTTTCCAGAATGCTGTATGAAAAGAAAGGTGAAACTCTGTGAGTTAAACACACACATCACTACGCAGTGTCTGGGAACGAGTTTGTCTTGTTTTTATACGAAGATATTTCCTTTTCTACCATTGGCATCGAAGCGCTTGAAATCTCCACTTGCAAATTCCACAAAAAGAGTGTTTCAAATCTGCTCTGTCTAAAGGAAGGTTGAACTCTGTGAGTTGCATACACACAACACAAAGAAGTTACTGAGAAATCTTCTGTCTAGCATAATATGAAGAAATCCCGTTTCCAACGAAGGCCTCAAAGAGGTCCGAATATCCACTGGCAGGCTTCACAAACAGAGTGTTTCCTAACTGCTCTGTGAAAAGAAAGGTTAAACTCTGTGAGTTGAACGCACACATCACAAAGGAGTTTCTGAGAATCATTCTGTCTAGTTTTTATACGAAGATATTTCCTTTTCAACCATTGACCTCAAATCGGCTGAAATCTCCACTTGCAAATTCCAGAAAAACAGTGTTTCAAATCTGCTCTGTGTAAAGGATCGTTCAACTCTGTGAGTTGAATACACACAACACAAGGAAGTTACTGAGAATTCATCTGTCTAGCATAATATGAAGAAATCCCGTTTCCAACGAAGGCCTCAAAGAGGTCTGAATATCCACTTGCAGACTTTACAAACAGAGTGTTTCCTAACTGCTCTCTGAAAAGAAAGGTTAAACTCTGTGAGTTGAACGCACACATCACAAAACAGTTTCTGAGAATCATTCTGTCTAGTTTTTATACGAAGATATTTCCTTTTCTACCGTTGACCTCAAAGCGGCTGAATTCTCCACTTACAAATTCCACCAAAAGAGTGTCTCAAATCTGCTCTGTGTAAAGAATCATTCAACTCTGTGAGTTGAATGCACACAACACAAGGAAGTTACTGGGAATTCCTCTGTCTAACCTTACATGAAAAAACCCGTTTCCAACGAAGGCCTCTAAGAGGCCAAGATATCCACTTGCAGACTTTACAAACAGAGTGTTTCCAAACTGCTGAATGAAAAGAAAAGTTAAACTCTGTGAGTTGAACGCACACATCACAGAGCAGTTTCTGAGAATGATTCTGTCGGGTTTTTATACGAAGATATTTCCTTTTCTGCCTTTGGCCTCAAAGCGCTTGAAGTCTCCACTTGCAAATTGCAGAAAAAGAGAGTTTCGAATCTGCTCTGTCTAAAGGAAGGTTCAACTCTGTCAGTTGAATACACACAACACAAGGAAGTTACTGAGATTTCTTCTGTCTAGCCTTACATGAAAAAAACCCGTTTCCAACGAAGGCCTCAAAGAGGTCAAAATATCCACGTGCAGACTTTCCAAACAGTGTTTCCAAACTGCTGAATGAAAAGAAAAGTTAAACTCTGTGAGTTGAACGCACACATCACAGAGCAGTTTCTGAGAATGATTCTGTCTAGTTTTTATAGGAAAATATTTCCTTTTCTGCTTTTGGCCTCAAAGCGCTTGAAATCTCCACTTGCAAATTCCACAAAAAGAGACTTTCAAATCTGCTCTGTCTAAAGGAAAGGTTCAACTCTGTCAGTTGAATACACACAACACAAAGAAGTTACTAAGAATTCTTCCCTCTAGCATTATATGAAGAAATCCCGTTTCCAACGAAGGCATCTAAGAGGTCCAAATATCCACTTGCAGACTTTACAAACAGAGGGTTTCCAGAATGCTGTATGAAAAGAAAGGTGAAACTCTGTGAGTTAAACACACACATCACTACGCAGTGTCTGGGAACGAGTTTGTCTTGTTTTTCTACGAAGATATTTCCTTTTCTACCATTGGCATCGAAGCGCTTGAAATCTCCACTTGCAAATTCCACAAAAAGAGTGTTTCAAATCTGCTCTGTCTAAAGGAAGGTTGAACTCTGTGAGTTGCATACACACAACACAAAGAAGTTACTGAGAAATCTTCTGTCTAGCATAATATGAAGAAATCCCGTTTCCAACGAAGGCCTCAAAGAGGTCCGAATATCCACTGGCAGGCTTCACAAACAGAGTGTTTCCTAACTGCTCTGTGAAAAGAAAGGTTAAACTCTGTGAGTTGAACGCACACATCACAAAGGAGTTTCTGAGAATCATTCTGTCTAGTTTTTATACGAAGATATTTCCTTTTCTACCATTGACCTCAAAGCGGCTGAAATCTTCACTTGCAAATTCCAGAAAAACAGTGTTTCAAATCTGCTCTGTGTAAAGGATCGTTTAACTCTGTGAGTTGAATACACACAACACAAGGAAGTTACTGAGAATTCATCTGTCTAGCATAATATGAAGAAATCCCGTTTCCAACGAAGGCCTCAAAGAGGTCTGAATATCCACTTGCAGACTTTACAAACAGAGTGTTTCCTAACTGCTCTTTGAAAAGAAAGGTTAAACTCTGTGAGTTGAACGCACACATCACAAAACAGTTTCTGAGAATCATTCTGTCTAGTTTTTATACGAAGATATTTCCTTTTCTACCGTTGACCTCAAAGCAGCTGAATTCTCCACTTACAAATTCCACCAAAAGAGTGTCTCAAATCTGCTCTGTGTAAAGAATCATTCAACTCTGTGAGTTGAATGCACACAACACAAGGGAAGTTACTGGGAATTCCTCTGTCTAACCTTACATGAAAAAACCCGTTTCCAACGAAGGCCTCTAAGAGGCCAAGATATCCACTTGCAGACTTTACAAACAGAGTGTTTCCAAACTGCTGAATGAAAAGAAAAGTTAAACTCTGTGAGTTGAACGCACACATCACAGAGCAGTTTCTGAGAATGATTCTGTCGGGTTTTTATACGAAGATATTTCCTTTTCTGCCTTTGGCCTCAAAGCGCTTGAAGTCTCCACTTGCAAATTGCAGAAAAAGAGTGTTTCGAATCTGCTCTGTCTAAAGGAAGGTTCAACTCTGTCAGTTGAATACACACAACACAAGGAAGTTACTGAGATTTCTTCTGTCTAGCCTTACATGAAAAAAACCCGTTTCCAACGAAGGCCTCAAAGAGGTCAAAATATCCACGTGCAGACTTTCCAAACAGAGTGTTTCCAAACTGCTGAATGAAAAGAAAAGTTAAACTCTGTGAGTTGAACGCACACATCCCAGAGCAGTTTCTGAGAAAGATTCTGTCGAGTTTTTATAGGAAAATATTTCCTTTTCTGCTTTTGGCCTCAAAGCGCTTGAAATCTCCACTTGCAAATTCCACAAAAAGAGACTTTCAAATCTGCTCTGTCTAAAGGAAGGTTCAACTCTGTCAGTTGAATACACACAACACAAAGAAGTTACTAAGAATTCTTCCCTCTAGCATTATATGAAGAAATCCCGTTTCCAACGAAGGCATCTAAGAGGTCCAAATATCCACTTGCAGACTTTACAAACACAGGGTTTCCAGAATGCTGTATGAAAAGAAAGGTTAAACTCTGTGAGTTAAACACACACATCACTACGCAGTGTCTGGGAACGAGTTTGTCTTGTTTTTATACGAAGATATTTCCTTTTCTACCATTGGCATCGAAGCGCTTGAAATCTCCACTTGCAAATTCCACAAAAAGAGTGTTTCAAATATGCTCTCTCTAAAGGAAGGTTGAACTCTGTGAGTTGCATACACACAACACAAAGAAGTTACTGAGAAATCTTCTGTCTAGCATAATATGAAGAAATCCCGTTTCCAACGAAGGCCTCAAAGAGGTCCGATTATCCACTGGCAGGCTTCACAAACAGAGTGTTTCCTAACTGCTCAGTGAAAAGAAAGGTTAAACTCTGTAAGTTGAACGCACACATCACAAAGGAGTTTCTGAGAATCATTCTGTCTAGTTTTTATACGAAGATATTTCCTTTTCTACCATTGACCTCAAAGCGGCTGAAATCTCCACTTGCAAATTCCAGAAAAACAGTGTTTCAAATCTGCTCTGTGTAAAGGATCGTTCAACTCTGTGAGTTGAATACACACAACACAAGGAAGTTACTGAGAATTCATCTGTCTTAGCATAATATGAAGAAATCCCGTTTCCAAAGAACGCCTCAAAGAGGTATGAATATCCACTTGCAGACTTTACAAACAGAGTGTTTCTTAACTGCTCTTTGAAAAGAAAGGTTAAACTCTGTGAGTTGAACGCACACATCACAAAACAGTTTCTGAGAATCATTCTGTCTAGTTTTTATACGAAGATATTTCCTTTTGTACCATTGACCTCAAATCGGCTGAATTCTCCACTTACAAATTCCACCAAAAGAGTGTCTCAAATCTGCTCTGTGTAAAGAATCATTCAACTCTGTGAGTTGAGTGCACACAACACAAGGAAGTTACTGGGAATTCCTCTGTCTAACCTTACATGAAAAAACCCGTTTCCAACGAAGGCCTCTAAGAGGCCAAGATATCCACTTGCAGACTTTACAAACAGAGTGTTTCCAAACTGCTGAATGAAAAGAAAAGTTAAACTCTGTGAGTTGAACGCACACATCACAGAGCAGTTTCTGAGAATGATTCTGTCGGGTTTTTATACGAAGATATTTCCTTTTCTGCCTTTGGCCTCAAAGCGCTTGAAGTCTCCACTTGCAAATTGCAGAAAAAGAGTGTTTCGAATCTGCTCTGTCTAAAGGAAGGTTCAACTCTGTCAGTTGAATACACACAACACAAGGAAGTTACTGAGATTTCTTCTGTCTAGCCTTACATGAAAAAAACCCGTTTCCAACGAAGGCCTCAAAGAGGTCAAAATATCCACGTGCAGACTTTCCAAACAGAGTGTTTCCAAACTGCTGAATGAAAAGAAAAGTTAAACTCTGTGAGTTGAACGCACACATCCCAGAGCAGTTTCTGAGAAAGATTCTGTCTAGTTTTTATAGGAAAATATTTCCTTTTCTGCTTTTGGCCTCAAAGCGCTTGAAATCTCCACTTGCAAATTCCACAAAAAGAGACTTTCAAATCTGCTCTGTCTAAAGGAAGGTTCAACTCTGTCAGTTGAATACACACAACACAAAGAAGTTACTAAGAATTCTTCCCTCTAGCATTATATGAAGAAATCCCGTTTCCAACGAAGGCATCTAAGAGGTCCAAATATCCACTTGCAGACTTTACAAACACAGGGTTTCCAGAATGCTGTATGAAAAGAAAGGTTAAACTCTGTGAGTTAAACACACACATCACTACGCAGTGTCTGGGAACGAGTTTGTCTTGTTTTTATACGAAGATATTTCCTTTTCTACCATTGGCATCGAAGCGCTTGAAATCTCCACTTGCAAATTCCACAAAAAGAGTGTTTCAAATCTGCTCTGTCTAAAGGAAGGTTGAACTCTGTGAGTTGCATACACACAACACAAAGAAGTTACTGAGAAATCTTCTGTCTAGCATAATATGAAGAAATCCCGTTTCCAACGAAGGCCTCAAAGAGGTCCGAATATCCACTGGCAGGCTTCACAAACAGAGTGTTTCCTAACTGCTCTGTGAAAAGAAAGGTTAAACTCTGTGAGTTGAACGCACACATCACAAAGGAGTTTCTGAGAATCATTCTGTCTAGTTTTTATACGAAGATATTTCCTTTTCTACCATTGACCTCAAAGCGGCTGAAATCTCCACTTGCAAATTCCAGAAAAACAGTGTTTCAAATCTGCTCTGTGTAAAGGATCGTTCAACTCTGTGAGTTGAATACACACAACACAAGGAAGTTACTGAGAATTCATCTGTCTAGCATAATATGAAGAAATCCCGTTTCCAACGAAGGCCTCAAAGAGGTCTGAATATCCACTTGCAGACTTTACAAACAGAGTGTTTCCTAACTGCTCTTTGAAAAGAAAGGTTAAACTCTGTGAGTTGAAAGCACACATCACAAAACAGTTTCTGAGAATCATTCTGTCTAGTTTTTATAGGAAGATATTTCCTTTTCTACCGTTGACGTCAAAGCGGCTGAATTCTCCACTTACAAATTCCACCAAAAGAGTGTCTCAAATCTGCTCTGTGTAAAGAATCATTCAACTCTGTGAGTTGAATGCACACAACACAAGGAAGTTACTGGGAATTCCTCTGTCTAACCTTACATGATAAAACCCGTTTCCAACGAAGGCCTCTAAGAGGCCAAGATATCCACTTGCAGACTTTACAAACAGAGTGTTTCCAAACTGCTGAATGAAAAGAAAAGTTAAACTCTGTGAGTTGAACGCACACATCACAGAGCAGTTTCTGAGAATGATTCTGTCGGGTTTTTATACGAAGATATTTCCTTTTCTGCCTTTGGCCTCAAAGCGCTTGAAGTCTCCACTTGCAAATTGCAGAAAAAGAGTGTTTCGAATCTGCTCTGTCTAAAGGAAGGTTCAACTCTGTCAGTTGAATACACACAACACAAGGAAGTTACTGAGATTTCTTCTGTCTAGCCTTACATGAAAAAAACCCGTTTCCAACGAAGGCCTCAAAGAGGTCAAAATATCCACGTGCAGACTTTCCAAACAGAGTGTTTCCAAACTGCTGAATGAAAAGAAAAGTTAAACTCTGTGAGTTGAACGCACACATCCCAGAGCAGTTTCTGAGAAAGATTCTGTCGAGTTTTTATAGGAAAATATTTCCTTTTCTGCTTTTGGCCTCAAAGCGCTTGAAATCTCCACTTGCAAATTCCACAAAAAGAGACTTTCAAATCTGCTCTGTCTAAAGGAAGGTTCAACTCTGTCAGTTGAATACACACAACACAAAGAAGTTACTAAGAATTCTTCCCTCTAGCATTATATGAAGAAATCCCGTTTCCAACGAAGGCATCTAAGAGGTCCAAATATCCACTTGCAGACTTTACAAACACAGGGTTTCCAGAATGCTGTATGAAAAGAAAGGTGAAACTCTGTGAGTTAAACACACACATCACTACGCAGTGTCTGGGAACGAGTTTGTCTTGTTTTTATACGAAGATATTTCCTTTTCTACCATTGGCATCGAAGCGCTTGAAATCTCCACTTGCAAATTCCACAAAAAGAGTGTTTCAAATCTGCTCTGTCTAAAGGAAGGTTGAACTCTGTGAGTTGCATACACACAACACAAAGAAGTTACTGAGAAATCTTCTGTCTAGCATAATATGAAGAAATCCCGTTTCCAACGAAGGCCTCAAAGAGGTCCGAATATCCACTGGCAGGCTTCACAAACAGAGTGTTTCCTAACTGCTCTGTGAAAAGAAAGGTTAAACTCTGTGAGTTGAACGCACACATCACAAAGGAGTTTCTGAGAATCATTCTGTCTAGTTTTTATACGAAGATATTTCTTTTTCTACCATTGACCTCAAAGCGGCTGAAATCTCCACTTGCAAATTCCAGAAAAACAGTGTTTCAAATCTTCTCTGTGTAAAGGATCGTTCAACTCTGTGAGTTGAATACACACAACACAAGGAAGTTACTGAGAATTCTTCTGTCTAGCATAATATGAAGAAATCCCGTTTCCAATGAAGGCCTCAAAGAGGTCTGAATATCCACTTGCAGACTTTACAAACAGAGTGTTTCCTAACTGCTCTTTGAAAAGAAAGGTTAAACTCTGTGAGTTGAACGCACACATCACAAAACAGTTTCTGAGAATCATTCTGTCTAGTTTTTATACGAAGATATTTCCTTTTCTACCGTTGACCTCAAAGCGGCTGAATTCTCCACTTACAAATTCCACCAAAAGTGTGTCTCAAATCTGCTCTGTGTAAAGAATCATTCAACTCTGTGAGTTGAATGCACACAACACAAGGAAGTTACTGGGAATTCCTCTGTCTAACCTTACATGAAAAAACCCGTTTCCAACGAAGGCCTCTAAGAGGCCAAGATATCCACTTGCAGACTTTACAAACAGAGTGTTTCCAAACTGCTGAATGAAAAGAAAAGTTAAACTCTGTGAGTTGAACGCACACATCACAGAGCAGTTTCTGAGAATGATTCTGTCGGGTTTTTATACGAAGATATTTCCTTTTCTGCCTTTGGCCTCAAAGCGCTTGAAGTCTCCACTTGCAAATTGCAGAAAAAGAGTGTTTCGAATCTGCTCTGTCTAAAGGAAGGTTCAACTCTGTCAGTTGAATACACACAACACAAGGAAGTTACTGAGATTTCTTCTGTCTAGCCTTACATGAAAAAAACCCGTTTCCAACGAAGGCCTCAAAGAGGTCAAAATATCCACGTGCAGACTTTCCAAACAGAGTGTTTCCAAACTGCTGAATGAAAAGAAAAGTTAAACTCTGTGAGTTGAACGCACACATCCCAGAGCAGTTTCTGAGAAAGATTCTGTCTAGTTTTTATAGGAAAATATTTCCTTTTCTGCTTTTGGCCTCAAAGCGCTTGAAATCTCCACTTGCAAATTCCACAAAAAGAGACTTTCAAATCTGCTCTGTCTAAAGGAAGGTTCAACTCTGTCAGTTGAATACACACAACACAAAGAAGTTACTAAGAATTCTTCCCTCTAGCATTATATGAAGAAATACCGTTTCCAACGAAGGCATCTAAGAGGTCCAAATATCCACTTGCAGACTTTACAAACAGAGGGTTTCCAGAATGCTGTATGAAAAGAAAGGTGAAACTCTGTGAGTTAAACACACACATCACTACGCAGTGTCTGGGAACGAGTTTGTCTTGTTTTTATACGAAGATATTTCCTTTTCTACCATTGGCATCGAAGCGCTTGAAATCTCCACTTGCAAATTCCACAAAAAGAGTGTTTCAAATCTGCTCTGTCTAAAGGAAGGTTGAACTCTGTGAGTTGCATACACACAACACAAAGAAGTTACTGAGAAATCTTCTGTCTAGCATAATATGAAGAAATCCCGTTTCCAACGAAGGCCTCAAAGAGGTCCGAATATCCACTGGCAGGCTTCACAAACAGAGTGTTTCCTAACTGCTCTGTGAAAAGAAAGGTTAAACTCTGTGAGTTGAACGCACACATCACAAAGGAGTTTCTGAGAATCATTCTGTCCAGTTTTTATACGAAGATATTTCCTTTTCTACCATTGACCTCAAAGCGGCTGAAATCTCCACTTGCAAATTCCAGAAAAACAGTGTTTCAAATCTGCTCTGTGTAAAGGATCGTTCAACTCTGTGAGTTGAATACACACAACACAAGGAAGTTACTGAGAATTCATCCCTCTAGCATTATATGAAGAAATCCCGTTTCCAACGAAGGCCTCAAAGAGGTCTGAATATCCACTTGCAGACTTTACAGAGTGTTTCCTAACTGCTCTTTGAAAAGAAAGGTTAAACTCTGTGAGTTGAACGCACACATCACAAAACAGTTTCTGAGAATCATTCTGTCTAGTTTTTATACGAAGATATTTCCTTTTCTACCGTTGACCTCAAAGCGGCTGAATTCTCCACTTACAAATTCCACCAAAAGAGTGTCTCAAATCTGCTCTGTGTAAAGAATCATTCAACTCTGTGAGTTGAATGCACGCAACACAAGGAAGTTACTGGGAATTCCTCTGTCTATCCTTACATGAAAAAACCCGTTTCCAACAAAGGCCTCTAAGAGGCCAAGATATCCACTTGCAGACTTTACAAACAGAGTGTTTCCAAACTGCTGAATGAAAAGAAAAGTTAAACTCTGTGAGTTGAACGCACACATCACAGAGCAGTTTCTGAGAATGATTCTGTCGGGTTTTTATACGAAGATATTTCCTTTTCTGCCTTTGGCCTCAAAGCGCTTGAAGTCTCCACTTGCAAATTGCAGAAAAAGAGTGTTTCGAATCTGCTCTGTCTAAAGGAAGGTTCAACTCTGTCAGTTGAATACACACAACACAAGGAAGTTACTGAGATTTCTTCTGTCTAGCCTTACATGAAAAAAACCCGTTTCCAACGAAGGCCTCAAAGAGGTCAAAATATCCACGTGCAGACTTTCCAAACAGAGTGTTTCCAAACTGCTGAATGAAAAGAAAAGTTAAACTCTGTGAGTTGAACGCACACATCCCAGAGCAGTTTCTGAGAAAGATTCTGTCGAGTTTTTATAGGAAAATATTTCCTTTTCTGCTTTTGGCCTCAAAGCGCTTGAAATCTCCACTTGCAAATTCCACAAAAAGAGACTTTCAAATCTGCTCTGTCTAAAGGAAGGTTCAACTCTGTCAGTTGAATACACACAACACAAAGAAGTTACTAAGAATTCTTCCCTCTAGCATTATATGAAGAAATCCCGTTTCCAACGAAGGCATCTAAGAGGTCCAAATATCCACTTGCAGACTTTACAAACACAGGGTTTCCAGAATGCTGTATGAAAAGAAAGGTTAAACTCTGTGAGTTAAACACACACATCACTACGCAGTGTCTGGGAACGAGTTTGTCTTGTTTTTATACGAAGATATTTCCTTTTCTACCATTGGCATCGAAGCGCTTGAAATCTCCACTTGCAAATTCCACAAAAAGAGTGTTTCAAATCTGCTCTGTCTAAAGGAAGGTTGAACTCTGTGAGTTGCATACACACAACACAAAGAAGTTACTGAGAAATCTTCTGTCTAGCATAATATGAAGAAATCCCGTTTCCAACGAAGGCCTCAAAGAGGTCCGAATATCCACTGGCAGGCTTCACAAACAGAGTGTTTCCTAACTGCTCTGTGAAAAGAAAGGTTAAACTCTGTGAGTTGAACGCACACATCACAAAGGAGTTTCTGAGAATCATTCTGTCTAGTTTTTATACGAAGATATTTCCTTTTCTACCATTGACCTCAAAGCAGCTGAAATCTCCACTTGCAAATTCCAGAAAAACAGTGTTTCAAATCTGCTCTGTGTAAAGGATCGTTTAACTCTGTGAGTTGAATACACACAACACAAGGAAGTTACTGAGAATTCATCTGTCTAGCATAATATGAAGAAATCCCGTTTCCAACGAAGGCCTCAAAGAGGTCTGAATATCCACTTGCAGACTTTACAAACAGAGTGTTTCCTAACTGCTCTTTGAAAAGAAAGGTTAAACTCTGTGAGTTGAACGCACACATCACAAAACAGTTTCTGAGAATCATTCTGTCTAGTTTTTATACGAAGATATTTCCTTTTCTACCGTTGACCTCAAAGCGGCTGAATTCTCCACTTACAAATTCCACCAAAAGAGTGTCTCAAATCTGCTCTGTGTAAAGAATCATTCAACTCTGTGAGTTGAATGCACACAACACAAGGGAAGTTACTGGGAATTCCTCTGTCTAACCTTACATGAAAAAACCCGTTTCCAACGAAGGCCTCTAAGAGGCCAAGATATCCACTTGCAGACTTTACAAACAGAGTGTTTCCAAACTGCTGAATGAATAGAAAAGTTAAACTCTGTGAGTTGAACGCACACATCACAGAGCAGTTTCTGAGAATGATTCTGTCGGGTTTTTATACGAAGATATTTCCTTTTCTGCCTTTGGCCTCAAAGCGCTTGAAGTCTCCACTTGCAAATTGCAGAAAAAGAGTGTTTCGAATCTGCTCTGTCTAAAGGAAGGTTCAACTCTGTCAGTTGAATACACACAACACAAGGAAGTTACTGAGATTTCTTCTGTCTAGCCTTACATGAAAAAAACCCGTTTCCAACGAAGGCCTCAAAGAGGTCAAAATATCCACGTGGAGACTTTCCAAACAGAATGTTTCCAAACTGCTGAATGAAAAGAAAAGTTAAACTCTGTGAGTTGAACGCACACATCCCAGAGCAGTTTCTGAGAAAGATTCTGTCTAGTTTTTATAGGAAAATATTTCCTTTTCTGCTTTTGGCCTCAAAGCGCTTGAAATCTCCACTTGCAAATTCCACAAAAAGAGACTTTCAAATCTGCTCTGTCTAAAGGAAGGTTCAACTCTGTCAGTTGAATACACACAACACAAAGAAGTTACTAAGAATTCTTCCCTCTAGCATTATATGAAGAAATCCCGTTTCC